>NW_012132915.1:320830-481245 GCF_000001405.40 Homo sapiens | reverse complement strand
GAATTCCACTCCATTCGATATCTTTCCATTACACTTCTTTCCATTCTGTTCCTTTCAATTCCATTCAATTCCATTCCATTTGATGCCATTCCATTCAATTTCATTCCAGTCGACTCCATTCCATTCGAGTCCATTTCATTCCATTCCATTACTTTCCATTCCATTTGATTCCAATCCTTTATATTCCATTTGGTTCAAGTCCATTCCATTCGACTCCATTCCATTCCAGTCAATTGCATTCGATCCCATTCCATTTGATTCCATTCCACTCGATTCCACTCCATTCCTTTCCACTGCATTCCATTCTATTCCATTTAATTGCACTCAATTCCATCCCACTTGATTACATTCCATTCGCTTCCATTCCAATTGAAACAATTAAATTGCAATCAATTACATTCGAGTCCGTTCTATTCCAGTCCATTCCATTCCACTGCAGTCCATTTCATTTAATTCCATTCCATACTATTGCATTTCATTCGAATCCATTCTATTTGAATAAATTCCATTCGAGACCATTCCATTCAAGTCCACTCTATTTGAGTCCATTCCATTCGAGTCCATTACATTTGGGTCCATTCCACTCCATTCCAACCCATTCCTTTCAATTCCATTCCATTCCATTCGATGCCATTCCATTCCATTCTATTCCACTTGAGTGCATTACATTCAAGACTATACCATTCCATTGCATTCCATTCCATTCAAGGCCATTCCATTAGATTCTATTCCATTTGACTCCATTCCATTCCATTCCATTCCTTCCGATTCCATTCCATTCTATTCCTTAGCATTCCATTCCATTGCATTCCATTCGAGTACATTCCACTCCAGGCCATTCCATTCGAGTCCATTCCATTCCAGTATATTCCATTCGAGTCCATTCCATTTCACTCCGTTCGAGGACTTTCCATTACAGTCCATTCCATTATATTCCCTTCAATTCCATTCAATTCCATTCTACTTGTTTCTATTCCATTTGATTCCATTCCATTCGATTCCATTCCGATTGAGTCCATTCCATCCAATTCCATTCCATTCCATTCCATTCCATTCCGTTCAGTTCGATTCCAATCCGTTTGATTCCATTTTGTTCCAGTCCATTCCATTCGAGTCCATTCCAATCCACTCCATTCCATTCGATTCCATTCCATTCGATTCCATTCCACTCGATTCCACTCTATTCCATTCCATTGAATTCCATTCTTTCCATTCCATTGCATTTTATACTATTAAATTACATTGCGTTCCATTGCATTCCACTTGATTACATTCCATTCGATTCCAATCCATTCGAATCAATTACATTGCAATCCATTACATTCGAGTCTGTTCTATTGCAGTCCATTCCATTCTGGTCCATTCCATTCAATTCCATTCCATTTGACTCCATTACATAGTATTGCATTCCATTCGAATCCATTCTATTCAAATCAATTCCATTTGAGAACATTCCATTCGAGTCCATTACATTTCGTTCCGTTCCATTCCATTCCATTCTATGCCATTCCATTCGATTCTATTCCATTCGAGTCCATTCCCATCGAGTCAATTCCATTCCATTCTGTTCAATACCATTCCATTTGATTTTATTCCATTCGACTCCACTCCATTCCATTCCGTTCGGTTAGATTCCATTCAATTCTATTCCTTGCCGTTCCATTCCATTCCGTTCCATTCCATTCCATTCGTTTCCATTCCATTGGAATCCACTCCACTCAAGTTCATTCCATTCAAGACCATTCCATTCGAGTCCATTCCATTCCATTCGATATCTTTCCATTACACTTCAATCCATTCTATTCCTTTCAATTCCATTCAATTCCATTCCATTCGATTCCATTACCTTCGATTCCATTCAATTCCATTCCATTCGATTCCATTCCATTCGACTCTGTTCCATTCGATTCCATTCCATTCCATTCTGTTCCGTTAGATTCCAATCAGTTCGATTCCATTTTCTTCTGGTCCATTCCCTTCGAGTCCATTCCATTCCAGTCCAATCCATTAGATTCCATTCCATTCAATTCCATTCCATTTCACTCGATTCCACTCCGTTCCATTCCGTTGCATTCCATTCTATTCCATTCCATTGTTTTCCATTCCATTCCATTTGATTACATTCCATTCGATTCCATTCCATTCGAATCAATTACATTGCAATCCATTACATTCACGTCCGTTCTATTCCACTCCATTGAATTCCAGTCCATTCCATTTGATTCCATTCCATTCGATTCCGTTCCATACTATTGCATTCCATTCGTTTCCATTGCGTTCGAATCAATTCCATTCGACACCATTCCTTTCGAGTCCATTCTATTTGAGTCCATTCCATTCGAGTCCATTACATTTGGATCCATTCCTTTCCATTCCATTCTTTTCATTCGAATCAATTCCATTCGACACCATTCCTTTCGAGTCCATTCTATTTGAGTCCATTCCATTCGAGTCCATTACATTTGGATCCATTCCTTTCCATTCCATTCCATTCCATTCGATGCCATTCCATTCAATTCTATTCCACTTGAGCGCATTCCATTTGAGTCCATTCCATTCCCCTCCATTCTTTTCGATGCCATTCCATTGGATTCTATTCCATTCGATTCCATTCCATTTCATTCCATTCCATCAGATTCCATTCAATTCTATTCCTTTACATTTCATTCCATTAGGTTCCATTTCGTTCCATTCCATTCCATTCGTTTCCATTCCAATCGAGTCCATTCCACTCCAGTTCATTCCGTTTGAGACCATTCCATTTGAGTCCTTTCCATTCGAGTCCAATCCATTCCATTCCATTCCATTCAATATCTTTCCATTACACTCCATTCCTTTCTATTCCTTTCGATTCCATTCAATTCCATTCCATTCCATTCCATTCGACTGCCTTCCATTCGACTCTGTTCCATTCGAGTCCATTCCATTCCATTCCATTCCGTCCTGTTCGATTCCATTATGCTCTTGTCCATTCCATTCAATTCCATTCGATTCCAGTCCATTCCATTTAACTCCATTCCATTCAAGTCCGCTTCATTTCATTACTTCCATTCCATTCCATTCCATTCCGATTGATTCCAATCCGTTCCATTCCATTTTGTTCCATTTCATTCCATTCGAGTCCATTCCATTCTAGTCCATTCTATTACATTGCATTCGAGTCCATTCCATTCCAATCCATTCCATTACATTGCATTCGAGTCCATTCCACTCCATGCTATTCCATCTGAGTCCATTCCATTCCATCCCATTCGAGACCATTCCCTTCCTTTAAATTCCACTCCATTTAACTCGGGTTCATTCCGTTGAATTCCACTGGAGTCAATTCCATTACATTCCTTTCAAGTCTATTCCATTGCATTCCATTATATTCAATTCCATTCCATTCCATTCCATTCCATTCCATTCGAGTCTATTCCATTTCATTCTATTCCATTGGATTCCTTTCCATTCCATTCCATTAGAGTCCATTCCATTAATTTCCATTGTAATCCATTCAAGTCCTTTCTTTCCATTCCATTCCATTCATTTCCATCCCATTCCTTTCAAGTCCATTCCATTCCATTCCACTGTACTCCATTCAAGTGCATTCCATTCCATACCATTCCATTCCATTCTAGTCCAATCCATTCCATTCCATTCCATTCCATTCCATTCCATTCCATTCCATTCCATTCCCTTCGGGTCCATTGATTTCCTTTCCATTCGAATGCATTCCGTTCCATTCTAGTCTATTCGATTCCATTACAATCCACTCGATTCCATTCCATTCCATTCCATTCCATTCCATTCCATTCCATTCCATTCCATTCTATTCCATTCCATTCCATTGCTTTCCCTTCCATTCCAATCGGGATGAGTCCATCGCACTCCATTCGAGTCCATTCCATTCCATTCGGGTTGATTCCATTCCAGTTCATTCCAGTACGTTTCATCACATTCCATCCTTATCGTGTCCATTCCATTCCAATCCATTCCACTCCATTCGAGTCCATTGCATTCCATTACAATAAATTCCATTCCATTCCATTCGGTTCCATGATTTTCCATTCCATTCCATTCAATCCTTACCATTCGAGTCTATTCAATTCCATTCGATTCCATTAAATTCCGTTAAATTCGAGTCCGTTCCATTCCATTATATTCTGGTCAATTCCTTTTGATTCCATATGAGTCCATTCCATTCCATTCCATTCCATTCGAGACCATTCCATTCCATTCCACATGAGTCCACTCCATTCCATTCCATTCCTTTCCATTCAAGCTCATTCCGTTCCATTCCATTCAGGTCCATTCCATACCTATCCTTTCGAATCCATTCCATTCTTATCCTTCCGATTCCATTCCATTCTATTCCTTAGCATTCCATTCCATTGCATTCCATTCGAGTACATTCCACTCCAGGCCATTCCATTCGAGTCCATTCCATTCCAGTATATTCCATTCGAGTCCATTCCATTTCACTCCGTTCGAGGACTTTCCATTACAGTCCATTCCATTATATTCCCTTCAATTCCATTCAATTCCATTCTACTTGTTTCTATTCCATTTGATTCCATTCCATTCGATTCCATTCCGATTGAGTCCATTCCATCCAATTCCATTCCATTCCATTCCATTCCATTCCGTTCAGTTCGATTCCAATCCGTTTGATTCCATTTTGTTCCAGTCCATTCCATTCGAGTCCATTCCAATCCACTCCATTCCATTCGATTCCATTCCATTCGATTCCATTCCACTCGATTCCACTCTATTCCATTCCATTGAATTCCATTCTTTCCATTCCATTGCATTTTATACTATTAAATTACATTGCGTTCCATTGCATTCCACTTGATTACATTCCATTCGATTCCAATCCATTCGAATCAATTACATTGCAATCCATTACATTCGAGTCTGTTCTATTGCAGTCCATTCCATTCTGGTCCATTCCATTCAATTCCATTCCATTTGACTCCATTACATAGTATTGCATTCCATTCGAATCCATTCTATTCAAATCAATTCCATTTGAGAACATTCCATTCGAGTCCATTACATTTCGTTCCGTTCCATTCCATTCCATTCTATGCCATTCCATTCGATTCTATTCCATTCGAGTCCATTCCCATCGAGTCAATTCCATTCCATTCTGTTCAATACCATTCCATTTGATTTTATTCCATTCGACTCCACTCCATTCCATTCCGTTCGGTTAGATTCCATTCAATTCTATTCCTTGCCGTTCCATTCCATTCCGTTCCATTCCATTCCATTCGTTTCCATTCCATTGGAATCCACTCCACTCAAGTTCATTCCATTCAAGACCATTCCATTCGAGTCCATTCCATTCCATTCGATATCTTTCCATTACACTTCAATCCATTCTATTCCTTTCAATTCCATTCAATTCCATTCCATTCGATTCCATTACCTTCGATTCCATTCAATTCCATTCCATTCGATTCCATTCCATTCGACTCTGTTCCATTCGATTCCATTCCATTCCATTCTGTTCCGTTAGATTCCAATCAGTTCGATTCCATTTTCTTCTGGTCCATTCCCTTCGAGTCCATTCCATTCCAGTCCAATCCATTAGATTCCATTCCATTCAATTCCATTCCATTTCACTCGATTCCACTCCGTTCCATTCCGTTGCATTCCATTCTATTCCATTCCATTGTTTTCCATTCCATTCCATTTGATTACATTCCATTCGATTCCATTCCATTCGAATCAATTACATTGCAATCCATTACATTCACGTCCGTTCTATTCCACTCCATTGAATTCCAGTCCATTCCATTTGATTCCATTCCATTCGATTCCGTTCCATACTATTGCATTCCATTCGTTTCCATTGCGTTCGAATCAATTCCATTCGACACCATTCCTTTCGAGTCCATTCTATTTGAGTCCATTCCATTCGAGTCCATTACATTTGGATCCATTCCTTTCCATTCCATTCTTTTCATTCGAATCAATTCCATTCGACACCATTCCTTTCGAGTCCATTCTATTTGAGTCCATTCCATTCGAGTCCATTACATTTGGATCCATTCCTTTCCATTCCATTCCATTCCATTCGATGCCATTCCATTCAATTCTATTCCACTTGAGCGCATTCCATTTGAGTCCATTCCATTCCCCTCCATTCTTTTCGATGCCATTCCATTGGATTCTATTCCATTCGATTCCATTCCATTTCATTCCATTCCATCAGATTCCATTCAATTCTATTCCTTTACATTTCATTCCATTAGGTTCCATTTCGTTCCATTCCATTCCATTCGTTTCCATTCCAATCGAGTCCATTCCACTCCAGTTCATTCCGTTTGAGACCATTCCATTTGAGTCCTTTCCATTCGAGTCCAATCCATTCCATTCCATTCCATTCAATATCTTTCCATTACACTCCATTCCTTTCTATTCCTTTCGATTCCATTCAATTCCATTCCATTCCATTCCATTCGACTGCCTTCCATTCGACTCTGTTCCATTCGAGTCCATTCCATTCCATTCCATTCCGTCCTGTTCGATTCCATTATGCTCTTGTCCATTCCATTCAATTCCATTCGATTCCAGTCCATTCCATTTAACTCCATTCCATTCAAGTCCGCTTCATTTCATTACTTCCATTCCATTCCATTCCATTCCGATTGATTCCAATCCGTTCCATTCCATTTTGTTCCATTTCATTCCATTCGAGTCCATTCCATTCTAGTCCATTCTATTACATTGCATTCGAGTCCATTCCATTCCAATCCATTCCATTACATTGCATTCGAGTCCATTCCACTCCATGCTATTCCATCTGAGTCCATTCCATTCCATCCCATTCGAGACCATTCCCTTCCTTTAAATTCCACTCCATTTAACTCGGGTTCATTCCGTTGAATTCCACTGGAGTCAATTCCATTACATTCCTTTCAAGTCTATTCCATTGCATTCCATTATATTCAATTCCATTCCATTCCATTCCATTCCATTCCATTCGAGTCTATTCCATTTCATTCTATTCCATTGGATTCCTTTCCATTCCATTCCATTAGAGTCCATTCCATTAATTTCCATTGTAATCCATTCAAGTCCTTTCTTTCCATTCCATTCCATTCATTTCCATCCCATTCCTTTCAAGTCCATTCCATTCCATTCCACTGTACTCCATTCAAGTGCATTCCATTCCATACCATTCCATTCCATTCTAGTCCAATCCATTCCATTCCATTCCATTCCATTCCATTCCATTCCATTCCATTCCATTCCCTTCGGGTCCATTGATTTCCTTTCCATTCGAATGCATTCCGTTCCATTCTAGTCTATTCGATTCCATTACAATCCACTCGATTCCATTCCATTCCATTCCATTCCATTCCATTCCATTCCATTCCATTCCATTCTATTCCATTCCATTCCATTGCTTTCCCTTCCATTCCAATCGGGATGAGTCCATCGCACTCCATTCGAGTCCATTCCATTCCATTCGGGTTGATTCCATTCCAGTTCATTCCAGTACGTTTCATCACATTCCATCCTTATCGTGTCCATTCCATTCCAATCCATTCCACTCCATTCGAGTCCATTGCATTCCATTACAATAAATTCCATTCCATTCCATTCGGTTCCATGATTTTCCATTCCATTCCATTCAATCCTTACCATTCGAGTCTATTCAATTCCATTCGATTCCATTAAATTCCGTTAAATTCGAGTCCGTTCCATTCCATTATATTCTGGTCAATTCCTTTTGATTCCATATGAGTCCATTCCATTCCATTCCATTCCATTCGAGACCATTCCATTCCATTCCACATGAGTCCACTCCATTCCATTCCATTCCTTTCCATTCAAGCTCATTCCGTTCCATTCCATTCAGGTCCATTCCATACCTATCCTTTCGAATCCATTCCATTCTTATCCTTTCGAATCCATTCCATTCCATTCCTTCCCATTCGAGTCGAGTGTTTTCAATTCCATTCCATGACATACGGGTCCATTCCATTCGTGTCCATTATATTCCATTCCATTCGAGTCCACCAGATTGCATTCCATCCCATTTGAGTCCACACCACTCCATTCCACTTGAGTCCATTCCGTTCCATTCCATTCCAATCGGGTCCATTCCATTCCATTCCATTCGAGTCCACTACGTTCCGTTTCATTACATTCGAGTCCTTGCCATTCCATTCCACTCGATTCATTTCCATTCCATTCCATTTACATCCATTCCATTCCATTGGATTGCATTCCATTCAATTACATTTCAGTCCATTCCATTCCATTCCATTCCATTCCATTCCATTCTTTTGAGGCCATTTAATGCTTTTCCATACTATTCAAATCCATTCCATTCCATTCCATTCCTTCCCATTCCATTCAAGTACTTTCGTTTCTATTCCATTCCATTCGAGTCGGTTTCATTCCATTACAGTCCATTCTTTTCAAGTCCATTTCACACCGTTATTATCCATTCGACTCAAATCCATTCCATTCCGTTCCAGTCCATTAAAATCCATTCCACTCCATTCCATTCGAGTCCATTCCCTACCAATACATTGCACTCAAGTCCATCCCATTCCATCCAAGTCCATTACATTCCATTTCATTCGATTCCATTCTATTTCCTTCCATTCTATTCCATTCAATTCCATTACATTTCATTCCATTCAAATCCATTCCATTGCCTTCCATTCTATTCCATTCAGTTCCATTGCATTCCATTCCATTTCATTCCATTCAAATCCATTCCATTGCCTTCCATTCTATTCCATTCATTTCCATTCCAATCCATTCCATTTCCTTCCATTCAATTCCATTGTAGTTCATTCCATTCCATTGCATTCCATTCAATTCATGTCCATTCCATTCCACTCCATTCCATTTCATTCCTCTCCATTCCATTCCATTCCATTCCATTCCATTCGGATCAACTCAATTCTTTCCTTTCGAGTCCATTCCATTCCATTCCAATCCATTGCATGCCATTCAAGTTCATTCCACTGCCTTCCATTTCATTCTAATCATTGCAATTAATTCCATTCTATTCCACTTGAGTTGATTCCATTACATTCCATTCCATTCGGGTCCATTCCATTTCATTTGAACTCATTCCGTTCCATTCCATTCCTTTCGAGTCCTTTTCATTCCATTCCATCCCATTCCATTCTTTCCATTCTATTGCATTCCCTTCCATTCCATTCCATTTCATTCTTTTTGAGTCCATTTTACTCAACTGCATTCAATTCGAGTCCATTGCATTCCATTCCATTCCATTTCATTCCTTACCATTCCATTCCATTCCATTCCATTCTATTACATTCCTTTCCATTCGTGTCTATTCCAATCCATTCCATTCCATTCGAGTCCATTCCTCTGCATTCAGTCTCATTCGAGTCCATTCAATTCCATTCGAATCCTTTCCATTCCCCTTCACTCGATGGCATTCTATTCCATTCCATTTCATTCAAATCCATTCCAATTCATTTGGGTCCATTCCGTTCTATAACCTTCTGTTCGATTCCATTCCATTCCATTGCACTGCTTTCGGGTCCATTCAATTCCACTGCATTCTATTTGAATCCATTCCATTCCATTCCATTCCATTCCATTCCACTCCATTCCATTGAACTTGAGTCCATTCCATTCCATTCCATTCGAGTCCATTCCATTCCATTTCTTCCCATTAGATTCCTGTCCATTCTATTCCTTTCCATTCGAGACCGTTCCATTCCATTCCATCCCATTCGAGTCCATTCCATTCCATTCCCTTCCATTCCATTCCATTCGAGCCCATTGAATTACTTTCCATTATATTCAAGTCAATTCCATGTCATACCGTTCCTTTCGAGTCCGCTTCATTCCATTCAATTCCATTGCATTTGAGTTTATTCCATTCAATTTTATTTCACTCTATTTGATTCCATTCAATTCCTTTCATTCCATTGGAGTCCATTCCATTCAATTACATTTCAGTATATTCCATTCAATACCATTCGCGTCCATTCAATTCCATTCCATTAGAGTCCATTCCTTTCTATTCCATTCTGGTCAATTGCATTCCATTCCATTCGAATCGATTCCACTCCATTACATTCGAGTCCATTCCTTTATATTCCACTCAAATCCATTGCATTCCTTTCGACTCCATTCCATTCCACTTTATTCGAGTCCATTCCATTCCTTTCCATTCTATGTCATTCAAGTCCATTCCTTTCCATTCAACATGAGTCCATTTCATTCCATTCCGTTTGACCCCATTCCATTCCATTCCATTAAATTCGAGTCTATTCCATTCCATTCGAGTCCTTTCCATTCCCTTCCATTCTCTTCCATTCGAGTCCTTTCCATTCCCTTCGATTCTCTTCCATTCAAGTCCAATCCATTCCATTCCATTCCAATCCATACCTTTCCATTCAATTCCATTCCAATTAATTCCATTCCATTCCAATTCATTCCATTCCATTCCATTTAATTCCATTCCATTCAATTCGAGTCCATTCCATTCCTTTCTGTTCCATTAGATTCTTGTCCATTCTATTCCTTTCCATTCGAGACTGTTCCATTCCATTCCATCCCATTTGAGTCCATTCCATTGCATTCTATTCCATTCCATTCCATTCCATTCCATTCTTTGCCATTCCATTCCATTCCATTCTATCCCATTCTATTTGAGTACTTTCCGTTCCCTTCTATTACATTCGATTCCATTCCCTTCCATTCCATTCCATTTGAGTCCATTGAATTACTTTCCATTTCATTACAGTCAATTCCATGTCATTCCGTTCCTTTTGAGTCCACTTCATTCCATTCAATTCCATTGCATTTGAGTTTATTCCATTCAATTTAATTTCATTCTATTTGATTCCATTCAATTCGTTTCATTCCATTGGAGTCCATTCCATTCAATTACATTTCAGTATATTCCATTCAATTCCATTCCGTTAGAGTCCATTCCTTTCTATTCCATTCTGGTCAATTGCATTCCATTCCATTCGAATCCATTCCACTCCATTCCATTCGAGTCCATTCCATTATATTCCACTCAAATCCATTGCATTCTTTTTGACTCCATTCCATTCCACTTTATTCGAGTCCATTCCATTCCTTTCCATTCTATGTCATTCAAGTCCATTCCTTTCCATTCAACTTGAGTCCATTTCATTCCATTCCGTTTGACTCCATTCCATTCCATTCCATTAAATTCGAGTCCATTCCGTTCCATTCGAGTCCTTTCCATTCCCTTCCATTCTCTTCCATTCGAGTCCTTTCCATTCCCTTCGATTCTCTTCCATTCAAGTCCATTCCATTCCATTCCATTCCATTCCATTCCAGTTCATTCCTTTCCATTCAATTCCATTCCATTCCATTCCATTCCATTCCATTCGAGTCCATTCCATTCCATTCTATTCCATACCATTCGAGTCCATTCCATTTAATTCCAATCCATTCGAGCACATTTCATTCCATTGAATTCCATTCCAGTAGAGTTAATTCCATTCCATTACATTCCATTCCGGTCGAGTCCATTCAATGCCATTCCATTCCATTAGAGTCCCTTCATTCAATGGTATTCCATTTGAGTCCATTCCATTCCATTACATTTGAGTCCATTCCATTCAAACCAATTCCACTGCAGTACATTCTACTCCATTCCATTCCCTTTGTTTCGATTCCATTCCAATCCATTTCATTTCAGCAAAATTCATTGCATTCCATTTGAGAACATTCCATTCCCTTCCATTGGTGTACCTTCCATTCATTTCCAATCAAGTCAATTCAATTCTATTCAATTAGAGTCCATTCCATTCCATTCCATTCCATTCCATTGCATTCCATCCCATTGCTTTTGTTTCCATTCAATTTATTTCCTTTCCATTCGACTACATTCCTTTCCATTCTATTCAAGTCCATTCCATTCATTCTATCCCACTGCTTTTGAGTCCAATCAATTGCATTCCATTCCATTCGAGTCCATTATATTCCACTAGAGTCCATTCCATTGCATTACATTCCATTCGAGTCTCTTACGTTCTATTCCATTCGAATCCATTCCATTCAAATCCATTAAAGTCCGTTCCATTAAATACCATTGTATTCCATTCGAGTCCATTACATTTCATTTCGTTCCGTTCATGTCCATTCCATTCGTGTCCACTCCATTTCATTCCAAACCATTTGTGCACATTTCATTCCATTGCATTCCATTCCAATCGAGTTCATTCCATTCCCGTACATTATATTCCATTCGAGTACATTGAATGTCATTCCATTCCATTCGAGTTCATTCCATTCAATGGTATTCCTTTTGAGTCCATTCCATTCAATTACATTTGAATCCATTCCATTCAAAGCAATTCCACTCCAGTCCATTCTATTCCATTCCAGTCCATTCGTTTCTATTCCATTCATTTCAATTCCATTTGAACAAATTTCATTCCATTCCATTCCATCAGTGTCCATCCCATTCCATTCCATTCCATTCCATTCCATTCCATTCCATTCCATGAG
Source organism: Homo sapiens (assembly GCF_000001405.40). Lineage (NCBI taxonomy): Eukaryota > Metazoa > Chordata > Mammalia > Primates > Hominidae > Homo > Homo sapiens. The sequence goes on along the minus strand of NW_012132915.1, from coordinate 468,756 downwards.
TCCATTCCATTCAATTCCATTCGAGTGAATTCCATTCTTCTATTCCATTTGAGTCCATTCCATTGCATTCCATTCCATTCGAATCCATTCCGTTCCATTCCATTAGAGTCCATTCCATTGCATTCCATCTCACTGCTTTTGATTCCATTCAATTTATTTCCTTTCCATTGGACTCCATTCCATTCCATTCGATTCCATTACATTGCATTTCATCCCACTGCTTTCAAGACTACTCAATTTCATTACATTACACTCGAGTGCATTCCATTCCATTCCATTCGAGTACATTCCATTGCATTCCATTTCGTTCGAGTCTATTCAATACTATTCCATTTCAGGCCATTCCATTCCATTCCATTAGAGTCCGTTCCATTAAATTCCATTAAATTCCATTCGAGTCCATTCCACTAAATTCCATTATATTCCATTCGAGTCAATTACATTCCATTTCGTTCCATTCATGTCCATTCCATTCCTTTCAAGTCCATTCCATTGCATTCCTTTCCATTCCTTTCTATTCCATTCAATTCCATTCGTGTCCATTCCATTTGAGTCCATTCCATTGCATTGCATTCCATTCGAGTCTATTCCATTCTATTTCATTCGAGTCCATTCCACTCCATTCCATTAAGGTCCGTCCCTTTAAATTTCATTGTATTAAATTCATGTCAATTCCATTCCATTTCATTCCATTCCATTCATTTCCATTCCATTCCATTCAAGTACATTCCATTCCATTCCTTTCAAGACCACTCGAATCCTTTCCATTCTGTTCCCTTCAAGTCAATTCCAATCCATTATATTCCATTGAAGTCCATTCCATTCCATACCTTTCAATTCCATTCCGTTCCATTCCATTCGGGTGGATTAAATTCCATTCCATTAGAGTCCATTCCATTCTATTCCATTCGGGTGGATTCCATTCCATTCCATTCCAGTACAATCCATTTCATTCCATCCCTTTCGAGTCCATTCCATTCCAAACCATTCCATTACATTCGATTCCATTACATACCATTCCATTAAATTCCATTTCATTCCGTTCAGTTCATTTAGTTTCCATTCCATTCCACACCATTCCGTTCCATTCGAGTACATTCGTTTCCACGTGGTTCCATTAAATTTCATTAAATTAGAGTCCATTCCATTTCATTCCATTAAAATTATATCCTGGTCCATTACTCTCCATTCCATTTGAGTCCATTCCATTACATCCATTCCATTCGAGACCATTCCTTTCCATTCCACTCAAGTCCATTCCTTTCCATTCCATTCATTTCCATTCCATTCCATTCCATTTCATTCCATTCCATTCGATTCGGGTCCATTCCATTCCTATCCTTTCGAATCCATTCCATTGCATTCCTACTGATTAGAGTCCATTCCTTTCCTTTCCATTCCATTCCATTACATACGAGTCCATTCCATTCCATTGCATTCCATTCAGGTCCATTCCATTCCATTTAATTCGAGTCCACTACATTGCATTCCATCCCATTCGATTCCCTTCCATTCCATTCCACTAGAGTCCATTCCATTCCATTCCTTTCCATTGCATTCCATTCCATTCCATTCAGGTCCATTCCATTCCATTCGAGTCCACTACATTCCATTCCATCCAATTCGAGTCCATTCCATTCTGCTCCACTCGATTCATTTCCATTCCATTCCATTGGATTTCATTCCATTCAATTCCGTTCCAGTCCATTCCATTCCATTCCATTCTATTCTATTCCATTCATTTCGTGGAGACTTATTTCCATTCCATACCATTCGAATCCATTCCATTCTATTCCATTCAAGTACTTTCCAATCTATTCTATTCCATTCGAGTCCGTTTCATTCCATTCCTTTCCAGTCCATTTGAATCCATTCTTCTTCATTCCATTCGAGTACATTGAATACCAAACCATTCCACTGGAGTCCATTCTATTCCATTAGACTCCATTCCATTTAATTTCATTTGAGTCCATTCCATTGCCTTCCATTCTATTCCATTCCATGTCATTCCATTCCAATCCATTCCATTCCATTCCATTTCATTCCTTTCAATTATATTTCAGACCATTATATTCCATTCCAATCGTGTCGATTCCATTCCATTCTATTCCAGTTCATTCCTCTCCATTCGATTCCTTTTTATTCCATTCCATTCGGATCCATTCAACTCTTTCCATTCGAGTCCATTGCATTCCATTCCATTCCATTCAATTTTGTTCCTTTCCACTGTAAGCCATTCGAGTTCATTCCACTGCATTCCATTTCATTTGATTCCATTCCAATCAATTCCATTCTATTCCACTTGGGTGGTTTCTATTGCATTCCATTCCATACGTTTCCATTCCATTTCATTTGAATTCATTTTTTTCCATTCCATTCGATTCGATTCCATTTCATTCCATTCCATCCCATTCCATTCCTTTCCATTCTAATGCAATCCATTCAAATCCTTTCCATTCCATTCCACTCCATTCCATTCCTTTCCATTCAACTCCATTCCATTCCTTTCCATTCCATTCCAGTCCATTCCATTCCATTCCATTCCATTCCATTCCTTTCGGGTCCATTCTCATCAACTGCATTCAATTCGAATCCATTCCGTTCTATTCCATTCCTTACCATTCCATTACATTCCATTTCATTCCATTCCATTGCATTCAATTCCATTCCATTCCATTCGTGTCTATTCCATTCCATTCCATTCCACTCGGGTTGATTCCAATCCATTCCATTCCATTGCATTCCATTCCTTTCCATTCCATTGCATTCCATTCCATTCCATTCCATTCCATTCCATTCCACTCTGCTTGATTCCATTCCACTCCAATCCATTCCATTCAATTCCACTCGGGTTGATTGAATTCGATTCCATTTCATTTTATTCCATTCCATTCCATTCCATTCCATTCCATTCCATTCCATTCCACTCTTGTTGATTCCATTCCATTCCATTCAATTGCATTGCATTCCATTCGATTCCATTCCAGTTGATTCCGTTTCATTCCATTCCATTCCATTCCACTAGGGTTGATTCCACTCCATTCCATTCCATTCCACTCGGGTTGATTCAATTCAATTCCATTCCATTCCATTCCATTCCATTCCTTTCCACTCGGGTTGACTCAATTCCATTCACTTCCATTCCATTCCACTCGGGTTGATTCCATTCCTTTCCATTCCTTTCCCTTCCCTTCCGTTCCATTCCATTCCACTCCATTCCGTTCCTTTCCATTCCACTCCATTCCATTCCTTTCCATTCCATTCCAGTCCATTCCATTCCGTTCCATTCCGTTCCATTCCTTTCGGGTCCATTCTCATCAACTGCATTCAATTCGAATCCATTCCATTCTATTCCATTCCTTACCATTCCATTACATTCCATTTCATTCCATTCCATTGCATACAATTACATTCCATTCCATTCGTGTCTATTCCATTCCATTCCATTCCACTCGAGACCATTCCACTGCATTCAATCTCATTCGTGTCCATCAAATTCAGTTCCATCCCATTCCACTCGACTCGACTCCTTTACGTTCCATTTCATTCAAATACATTCCAATTCATTTGAGTCCATTCTGTTCCACTCCATTCCAGTAGAGTATATTTCATTTCATACATTTCCATTCCATTCCATTCCTTTCCATTGCGTTCGGGTCCAATCAATTCAAATGCATTCCCATTGATTCCATTCCATTCCCTTCCATTCCATTCATTTACATTCCTTTCGGGTCCAATCATTTCCGTTCCATTCGAGGCCATTCCTTTCCACTCCATTCCATTCCACTCGAGTCCATTTCTATACATTCCTTCCCATTCGAGTCCATTCCATTCCATTGCATTACATTCTTGTCCATTCCAGTCCTTTCCATTCGAGTCTGTTCCATTCCATTACATCCCATTCGAGTCCATGCCATTCCAATCCATGCCATTCCACTCCATTCCAGTCTTGCCTTTCCATTCTTTTCCATTCTATTACTATCCCTTCCATTCCACTCCATTTGAATATATTCAATTACATTCCATTCCATTCGAGTCCGTTCTATTCCATTCTGTTAGATTCGAGTCCGTTTCATTCCATCCAATTCAATTCAACTGCATTCCATTTGATTCCATTCCATTCCATTTCATTCCATTCCATTCCATTCCACTCTACTTGATTCCATTCCATTCCATTCCATGCCATTCCATTCCACTCTGATTGATTCCACTCCATTATATTCCATTCCATTCCATTCCACTCGGGTTGATTCCATTCCATTCCATTCCATTCCATTGCATTCCCTTCCATTCCATTCCATTCCATTCATGTTGATTCCATTCCATTCCATTCCATTCCAATCCATTCCATTCCATTCCACTCGGGTTGATTGAATTCAATTCCAATTCATTCTATTCCATTCCATTCCATTCCACTCTTGTTGTTTCCATTCCATTCCATTCAATTGCATTGCATTCCATTTGATTCCATTCCAGTTGATTCCTTTCCATTCCATTCCATTCCATTCCATTCCACTAGGGTTGATTCCATTCCATTCCATTCCACTTGGGTTGATTTCATTCAAATCCATTCCATTCCATTCCATTCCATTCCATTCCACTCGGGTTGACTCAATTCCATTCACTTCCATTCCATTCCACTCAGGTTAATTCCATTCCATTCCATTCCTTTCCCTTCCCTTCCATTCCATTCCATTCTAATCCATTCCATTCCATTCCATTCCACCCGGGTTGATTCCAATCCATTCCATTCCATTCCTTTCCATTCCATTCCATTCCACTGCATTCCATTCCATTCCATTCCACTCGGGTTGATTCCATCCCATTCCATTCAGTTGCATTGCATTCCATTCCATTCCATTCCAGTTGATTCCATTCCATTCCATTCCATTCCATTCCATTCCACTAGGTTTGATTCCATTCCATTCCATTCCATTCCATTCCATTCCATTCCATTTCATTCCTTTCCATTCCACTCTATTCCACTCGGGTTGATTACAATTCACTGCATTATATTCCATTCCATACGATTCCATTCCCTTCCATTCCATTCCACACAGGTTGATTCAATTCCATTCAATTCCATTCAATTTCATTCCATTCCGCTCGGGTTGATTCCATTCCATTCCATTCCATTCAAGTTGAATCCCTTAAATGCCAATCCATTCCTTTCCATTCCATGCGTGTTGATTCCATTCAATTCCATTCCATTCCATTCCATGCCATTCCATTATATTGCATTCCATTCCATTCCTTTACAGTTGATTCCATTCAATTCCATTCCATTCCATTCCATTCCATTCCATTCCATTCTATTGCATTCCAGTCGTGATGATTCCACTCAATTCCAGTCCATTCCATTACATTCCAGTTGATTTCATTCCTTTAAATTCTATTCCATTCCATTCCATTTCATTCCATTCAATTCCTTTCCATTCCACTCGGGTTGATTCCATTCCATTCCATTCCATTCCATTCCAATCAGGTTGATTCCATTCCATTCCATTCCATTCCATTCCATTCCATTCCATTCTATTCCATTCCATTCCACTCGGGTTGATTCCATTCCACTGAACTCAATTCCATTCCATTCCATTCCACTCGGGTTGATTCCATTCCATTCCGTTCCATTTCATTCCATTCCATTCCATTCCAATCCATTGCATTCTATTCCAGCTGATTCCATTCCATTCCATGCCATTCCATTCGTGTTGATTCCATTCCATTCCATTCCATTCCATTCCATTCCATTCCATTCCATTCCATTCCATTCCATTCCACTCAGGTTGATTCTATTCCATTCCATGCCATTCCATTCCATTCTATTCCAATCCATTCCATTCCACTCTATTCCACTCGTGTTGATTACATTCGATTCCATTATATTCAATTCCATTCTATTCCATTCCATTCCACTCGGTTAGATTCCATTCCATTCCATTCCATTCCATTTCATTCCATTTCGCTTGGGTTGATTCCATTCCATTCTATTCCATTCCATTCCATTCCATTTCACACGGGTTGATTCCATTGCATTCCATTCCATTCCATTCCATTCTATTCGATTCCATTCCATTTCATTCCACTCGGGTCGATTCCATTCTGTTCCATTCTATTCCATTCAATTCCGTTCAACTTGGGTTGATTCCATTCCATTCCATTCCATTATATTCCATTCCATCCAATTCAATTCCATTCCATTCCACTCGGGTTGATTCCATTCTGTTCCATTCCATTCCATTCCCTTCCATTCCACTCGGGTTGATTCCATTCTGTTCCATTCCATTCCATTCCCTTCCATTCCAATCGGGTTGATTCCATTCCATTTCATTCCATTCCATTCCACTCGGGTTGATTCAATTCTATTGCAATCCATTCATTTCCATTCCATTGCAATCGGTTTGATTCCTTTCCTTTCCATTCCTTTCCATTCCAGGCCATTACTCTCAGGTTGATTCCATTCAGTTCCATTCCATTGAATTCCATTCCATTCCATTCCATTCCACTCGAGTTGTTTCTACTCTGTTCCATTGCATTCCATTACACTCGTGTTGATTCCATTTCTTTCCATTTCATTCCATTGCCTTCCATTACACTCGTGTTGATTCCATTTCTTTCCATTTCATTCCATTGCCTTCCATTCCATTCCATTCCATTCCATTGCATTCCATTCCTTTCAATTCCATTCCACTCACGTTGATTCCATTCCATTCCATTCCATTGCTTTCCATTCTATTCCACTAGAGTTGATTCCTTTCCATTTCATTCCATTCCATTCCATTCCACTCGAGTTGATTCCATTCCATTCCATTACATTACATTACATTCCACTCGGGTTGATTCATTTCCATTCCATTCCATTCCATTGCATTCCATTGCATTCCACATGGGTTGTTTCTATTCCATTCCATTTCATTCCATTCCATTCCACTCTGGTTGATTCCATTCCATTCCATTCCATTATATTCCATTCAATTCCATTCCTTTCCATTCCAGTGCATTCCACTCCAGTTGATTCCATTCCTTTCCATTCCATTCCATTGCGTTCCATTCCACTCGCGTTAATTCTATTCCATTCCATTCCATTCTATTCCATTCCTTTCCACTCGTATTGGTTCCATTCCTTTTCATTCCCCTCCATTCCATTCGATTTCATTGCATTCCATTCCATTTCATTCCATTCCACTCGGATGGATTCCATTACATTCAACTCCATTCCATTCCATTCCATTCCATTCCATTCCATTCCATTCCATTCCACTCGGTTTGATTCCATTCCATTCCATTCCATTCCATTCCATTCCACTCCATTCCATTCCGTTCCACTCGGGTTGATTCCATTCCATTCCATTCCATTTCATTCCATTCCATTCCATTCCACTCCATTCCATTCCGTTCCATTCCATTCCACTCGGTTTGATTTCATTTCATTCCATTCCATTCCATTCCATTCCATTCCATTGCATTCCACTAGGGTTGATTCCATTCCATTCCATTTCATTCCATTCCAATCCATTCCATTCCTTTTCACTCGGGTTGATTCCATTCCTTTCCATTCCATTCCTTTCCATTCCATTCCATTAAACTCGTGTCGATTCCATTCCATTACATTCCATTCAAGTCCATTCCATTCCACTCGGGTTCATTCCATTCCATTCCATTCCATTCCATCTCATTTCATTCCATTCCATTCCACTCGGGTTGATTCCATTCCATTCCATTCCACTCCAATCCATTCCATTCCATTCCACTCAGGTTGAATCCATTGCATTCGGTTCCATTTCGTTCCATTCCATTCCAATTCATTCCGTCCCTCTCGGGTTGACTTAATTTCATTCCATTCCAATCCTTTCCATTCCATTCCACTCGGGTTCATTCCATTCCATTCCATTCCATTCCATTCCATTCCATTCCATTCCATTCCATTGCATTCTAGTTGATTCAATTCCATTTGTTTCCATTCCATTCCATTCCATACCCCTCGTGTTGATTCCATTCCATTCCGTTCCATTCCAAACCATTCCATTCCATTTCAGTTGATTCCATTCCATTCCATTCCAATCCATTCCGTGCCATTCCATTCTACTCCATGCCACTCGGGTTGATTGCATTCTATTCCATTCCATTCCATTCCATTCCATTCCATTCCATTCACTTGGGTTGATTCCATTCCATTCCATTCCATTACATTACATTACATTACATTCCACTCGCGTTTTTCCATTCCATTGGATTGCATTACATACCATTCCGTACCATCCCAATCGGTTTGATTACCTTCCGTTCCATTCTGTTGCATTCCATTCCATAAACTTCCATTCCAGTTGATTCCATTCCATTCCATTCCATTCCATTTCATTCCACTCGGGATGATTCTAATCCTTTCCATTCCATTCCAATCTATTCCATTCCATTCAACTCGGTTTGATTCCATTCCATTCCATTCCATTCGATTCCATTCCATTTCATTCCATTCCATTCCTTACCATTCTACTCGTGTTGATTCCATTCCATTCCATTCCATTTCATACCATTCCAGTTTTTTCCATTCCATTCCATTCCATTCTATTCCATTCCATTCCATTCGCGTTGATTCCATTCCTTTCCATTCCATTCCAGTCCATTCCCCTCGGGATGATTCCATTCCATTCCATTCCATTCCATTCCATTCCATTCCATTCCATTCCATTCCATTCCACTCGGGTTGATTCCATTCCATTTCATTCCATTGTATTCTTTCCATTCCATTCCATTCCATTCCACTCGGCTTGATTCCATTCCATTCCATTTCATTCCATTCCATTCCGTTCGGTAAATTCCATTCTATTCCACTCCGGTATATTCCATTCCAATCCATTCCATTCCATTCCATTCCATTCCACTCTGGTTGATTCCATTCCATTCCATTCAATTCCATTCCATTCATTCCATTCCACTCGGGTTGATTCCATTCCTTTCCATTTCATTCAATTCCATTCCATTCTGGTTCACACCATTCCATTGCATTCCATTCCGTTCCATTAAATTCCATACAATTACATTCCATTCCACACGTTTTGATTCCATTCCATCCCATTCAATTCTATTCCATTCCATTCCATTCCATTCCATTCCTCTCGGGTTGATTCAATTCCGTTCCTATCCATTCTTTTCCATTTCATTCCACTCGGGTTGATTCCATTCCATTCCATTCCATTCCATTCCATTTCATTCGGGTTGGTTCCATTCCATTTCTTTCCATTCCATTCCATTCCACTCCACACTGATTGATTTCATTCCAGTCCCTTCTATTCCTTTCCATTCCATTCCATTCCATTCGACTCGTGTTAATTCCACACAATTCCATAACATTCCATTTCATTCCATTGATTCCATTCCACTCGGATTGATTCCATTCCATTCTATTCTTTTCCACTCGGGTTGATGCCATTCCTTTCCATTCCCTTCCATTCCATTCCACTCGGGTTGATTCAATTCAATTCCATTCCATTCCATGCCACTCCATTCCATTCAACTCCGGTTGATTCCATTCCATTCCATTCCATTCCGCTTCTTTCCATTCCATTCCATTCCATTCCTGTTGATTCCATTCCATTGCATTCCATTCCATTCCATTCCATTCCATTCCACTCGTGTTGATTCCATTCCATTCCATTCAACTCCGTTCCATTCCATTCCATTCCATTCCATTCCACTCAGATTGATTCCATTCCATTTCATTCCATTCCACTCCATTCCATTCGAATACTTTCCACTCGGGTTGATTGCATTCCATTTCATTCCATTTCATTCCATTCCATTCCATTCCATTCCATTCCATTCCATTCCATTCCATTCCACTAGGATTGATTCCATTCCATTCCATTCCATACCTTTCCACTCTGGTTGTTTCCATTCCATTACTATTCATTCCATTCCATTTAATTCAATTCCATTCGATTCCCTTCCATTCCATTTCAGTTGATTCCATTCCATTCCATTCCATTCCATTCAGATTGATTCTATTCCATTCCCTTCAATTCCACTCGGGTTAATTCCATTCAATTCAGTTCCGTTCCATTCCAGGCCATTCCATTCCATTCCACTCAGATTGATTCTATTCCATTCCATTCCGTTCTATTCCATTCCGTTCTATTCCATTCCATTCCATTCCATTCCATTCCATTCCATTCCATTCGTATTGATTCTATTCCATTCCATTCCATTCCATTCCATTCGTATTGATTCTATTCCATTCCTTTCCATTCCATTCCATTCCAATTGTGTTGATTCCATTCCATTCCTTTCTATTCCATTTTATTTCACTGGGGTTGATTCCATTGCATAGCATGCCTTTCCACTCGTGTTGATTCCATTCCATTCCATTCCATTCCATTCCATTCCATTGCATTCCATTCCACTAGGGTTGATACCATTCCATTCCATTCCATTCAGGTTTATTCCTTTCCATTCCATTCCATTCCATTCCATTCCATTCCATTCCATTCCTTTCCTTTACATTCGATTTCATACCATTCCACTCGGGTTTATTCCAATCCATTCCATTCCATTCCATTCCATTCAACTCCATTTCATTCCATTTCATTCCCCTCGGATTGATTCAATTCCATTCCTTTTCATTCCATTCCATTCCATGCCATTCCAGTTGATTCCATTCCATTCCGTTCCTCTCCATTCCACTCCTTTACATTACATTGCATTCCATTGTATTCCACTCACGTTGATTCTATTCCATTCCATTCCATTCCACTCGGGTTGATTCCATTCCCTTCCATTACATTCTATTCCATTCCACTCCACTCGCTTTGATTCCATTCCATTGAATTCCATTCCATTCCATTCCACTGGCGTTGATTCCATTCCATTCCATTCCATTCAATTCCATTCCACTCGTGTTGATTCAAATCCATTACATTACATAACATTACATTACATTAACTTCCATTCCAGTTGATTCCATTCCATTTTTTTCAATTCCATTCTACTCCACTCTCGTTGATTCCATTCCATTCCTTTTCATTCCATTCCATTCCACTCCATTCCTTTCCACTCGGGTTGTTTCCATTCCATTCCTTTCCATTGAATTCCATTCCACTCGTGTTGATTCCTTTCCATTCCATTCCATTCCATTAGATTCCATTCCATTCCACCCTGGTTGATTCCATTCCATTTCATTTCTTTCCATTCCATTCTATGTCTTTGCATTGCATTGCATTCCACTCGGGTTGATTCCATTTCATTCTATTCCATTCCATTCCGTTCCTTTCCATTAAAGTCCTCTCGGGTTTATTGCATTCCATTCCATTCCATTATATACCATTCCACTCCATTCCATTCCATACAATTCCACTCTGGTTGATTCCATTCCATTCCATTCCATTCCATTCCATTCCATTCCATTCTATTCCACTGGGGTTGATTCCTTTCCATTTGATTCCATTCCATTCCATTCTACTCGGGTTGATTTGATACCATTCCATTCCATTCCATTCCATTCCGTTCCACTCTGGTTCATTCCATTCGATTCCAATCCATTCCATTGCATTCCGTTGCATTCCACTCGTGATGATTCCATTCCTTTCCAATTCAAACTGAGTGGAATGAAATGGAATGGAATGGAATGGAATGGAATGGAATGGAAACATCCCGAGTGGAAATGAAAGGAATGGAATTGAATGCAATGGAATGGACTGGAATTGAATGGAATGGATTGGAATGGAATGGAATGGATTAGAATGGAATGGAAAGGAAAGGAATCAACTCGAGTGGAATGGAATGGAATGGAATGCAATGGAAGGGAACTGAAAGGAATGGAATGGTATGGAATGGAATGGAATGGAATGAAATAGAATTAACACCAGTGGAATGTAATGAAATGTAAAGGAAAGTAATGGAATTAACTGGAATGGAATGAAATGGAATGGAATCAACACGAGTGGAATGGAATGGAATGGAATGGAATAGAATCGAAACAACTGGAATGGAATGGAATGGAAGGGAAGGGATTGGAATGGAATGGTATCATTCTCAGTGAAATGGACTGGATTGGAATGGAATGGAATGAAATGTAATGGAATGAAATCAACCCGAGTAGAATGGAATGGAATGGAATGGAATGAACACGAGTGAAATGGAATGGAATGTAATGGAATGGAATTGAAAGGAATGTAATGAAATGGAATCAACCCGAGTGGAATGGAATGGAATGGAATGGAATGGAATGGAATGGAATAGAACGGAATGGAATGAAATGGAATGGAATGGAGTCAAACGGAGTGGAATGGAATGGAAAGGAATGTAATGGAATGGAATGGAATCAACAGGAATGGAATGGAATGGAATGGAATGGAATGGAATGGAATGGAATCGAAGGGAAGGGAATCAACCCGAGTGGAATGGAATGGAATGGAATGGAATGGAATGAAATCAACCCGAGAGTAATAGAATGGAATTTAATGGAATGGAATGGAATGGAATCAACTGGAATGGAATGGAATAAAATGGACTGGAAAGAAATCAACCCGAGTGGAATGGAACGGAATGGAAAGGAAGGGAATGGAATGGAATGGAATGGAATGGAATGGAATGGAATGAACCCAAGTGGAATGGAATGCAATGGAATGGAATGGAATGGAATGGAATGGAATGGAATGGAATGGAATGAACCCAAGTGGAATGGAATGCAATGGAATGGAATGGAATGGAATGGAATGGAATGGAATGGAATGGAAAGGATTCAACCTGATTGGAATGGAAGGGAATGGAATTGTATGGATTGGAACCAACCCGAGTGGAATGGAATGGAATGGAATGGAATGGAATGGAATGGAATGGAATCAACCCGAGTGCAATGGAATGGAATTGAATAGAATGGAATGGAATCAACCCTAGTGGAATGGAAAGGAATGGAATGGAATGGAATGGAACAGAATGGAATCAACCCGAGTGGATTGGAAAGGAATGTAATGGAATGGAATGGAATGGAGTCAATCCGAGGGAAATGACATGGATTGGAATGCAATGGAATGGAATGGAAGGGAATGGAATAGAATGGAAAGGATTGGAATCAAAAGGAATGGAATGGAATGGAATGGAATGGAATGGAATGGAATCAACCCTAGTGGAAAGGAATGATATGGAATGGAATGGAATGGAACGAAATGGAATGGAATGAAATAAATCTGAGTGGATTGGAATGGAATGGAATGGATTAGAATGGAATGGAATGGAATCAACACGACTGGAATAGAATGGAATGGATTGGAAAGGAATGAAATCAACCTGAGTGGAATGGAATGGAATGGAATAGAATGGAATGGAATGGAATCAACTGCAATGGAATGGAATGCAATGGAATGGAATGGAATGGAATGGAATTCAATAGAATGGAATCAACAAAATTGGAATGGAATGGAGTGGAAGGGAAAGGAATGGAATGGAATGGAATGGAATTTAATGGAATGGAATCAACCCGAGTGGAATGGAATGGAATGGAATGGAATGGAATGGAATGGAATGGAATGGAAAGCAATGGCAAGAATTGGAATGGAAAGGAATCGACCCGAATGGAATGGAATGTAATGAAATGGAATGGAATGGAATGGAAGGGAATGGAGAAGAATGGAATGCAATGGAATGGAATGGAATGGAATGGAATGGAATGGAATGGAATGGAATGGAATGGAATGGAATGCAATCAACACGAATGGAATGGTTTGGAATTTAATGGAACGGAATAGAATGTAATTGAATGGAATCAACCCGTGTAGAATGGAATACAATGGATTGGAATTGAATGGAATTGAATTGAAAAAATCCGAGTGGAATGGAATGGAATGGAATGGAATGGATTGGAATGGAATGGAATGGAATGGAATGGAATGGTATGCAATGGAATGGAATGCAATGGAATGGAATGAATTGGAATGTAATCAACCCGAGTGGAATGGAATGGAATGGAATCGTATTTAATGTTTTGGAATGGTATCAAAATGAGTGGAATGGAATCGATGGGAATGGAATGGAATGCAATGGAATGGAATGGAATGGAATGGATTGGAATGGAATCAACCCGAGTGGAATGTAATGTAATGTAATGGATTGGAATAGAATGGAATGGAACGCAATGAAACAGAGTAGGATAGAATGGAATGAAAAGGAATTGAATTGAATTGAATGGAATGGAATCAACAAGATTAGAATGGAATGGAGTGGAATGGAATTGAATGGAATGGAATGGAATCAACCCGTGTGGAATGGAATGGAATGGAACGGAACGGAATGCAATGGAATGGAATGGAATGGAATGGAATGGAATGGAATGGAATGGAATGGAATGGAATGGAATGGAATGGTATGGAATGGAATAGAATCAAACCGAGTGGAATGGAAAGGAATGGAATGGCATGGAATGGAATGGAATGAAATGGGATAGAAGGGAATGGAATCAACCCGAGTGGAATGGAATGGAATGGAATGAAACTTAAAGGAATGTAAGGGAAAGGAATGGAATGGAAACAACCCGAGTGGAATGGAATGAAATGGAATGGAATGGAATGGAATCAACCTGAGTGGAACGAAAGGGAATGGAATGGAGTGCAATGGAATGGATTCGAATGGAATGGAATCAACCTGAATGGAATTTAAAGGAAAGGAATGGAATGGAATGGAATGGAATGGAATGGAATGGAATGGAATTGCATCAACACGAGTGGAATGGAATGGAATTGAATGGAATTTATTGGAATGGAATGGAATGGAATGGAATTTAATCAACCTGAGTAGAACGGAATGGAATGGAATGAAATGGAATGGAATGGAATCAACCCGAGTGGAATGATATGGAATGGAATGGAATGGAATGGAATGGAATGGAATGGAATGGGATGGAATGGAATGGATTGGAATGGAATGGATTGGAATGGAATGGAATGGAATGGAATGGAATGGAATGGAATGGAATCTACCTGTGTGGAATGGAATGGAATGGAATGGAATGGAAAGTAGTGGAATGGTATGGAATCAACCCGAGTGGAAAGGAATGGAATAGAAGGAAATGGAATGGAATGGAATGGAATCAAACCGAGTTGAATGGAATGGAATGGAACGGAATGGAAGGGAGTGGAATGGAATTTTATCATCACGAGTGGAATGCAATGGAAAGGAAGGAAAGGGAATGCAATGGAATGGAATCAACCCAAGTGGAATGGAATGGAATGCAATGGAATGGAATGAAATGGAATGGAATGCAATAAAATGGAATGGAATGGAATGGAATCAACACGAATGAAATGGAATGGAATCAACCCGATTGGAATGGAATAGAATGGAGTAGAAAGGAATGGAATGGAATGGAATGGAATGGAATGGAATGGAATGGAATGGAATGGAATGGAATGGAATGGAATGGAATGGAGTGGAATCAAACCGAGTGGAATGGAAGGAAATGGATTGCAATAGAATGGAATGGAATAAAATGGAATGAAAGGAATGGAATCAACCCGAGTGGAATGGAATGGAGTTGAATGGAATAGAATGGAATGGAATTTAAAGGAATGGAATCAACTCGAGTGGAATGGAATGGATTGGAATGGAAGGAATGAAATGGAATGGAATGAACACGAGTGGAATGCAATAGAAAGGAATGGAATTGAATGGAATGGAATGGAATGGAATGGATTGGAATGGTTTGAAATGGAATAGAATGGAATGGAATGAAATGAAATGGAATGGAAAGGAATCAACGTCAGTAGAATAGAATCGAATGGAATTGAATAGAATGGAATCTAATTGAATGGAATGGAATGGAATGGAATGGAATGGAATTGAAAGGAATGGAATGAAAGGGAATGGTATAGAATGGAATGGCATGGAATGGAAACAACCCGAATGGAATGGAATGGAATGGAATGAAAAGGAATGGAATCAACCAGAGTGGAATGGAATGGAATGGAATGGAATGGAATGGAATGGAATGGAATGGAATGGAATGGAATTCAACAGAATCGAATCAACCCGAGTGGAATCAACTGGAATGGAATGGACTGGAATGGAATGGAATGGATTGGAATGGAATGGAATGGAATCAACCCCAGTGGAATGGAAAGCAATGGAATCGAATCAATTGGAATGCAATGCAATGGAACGGAATGGAGTGGAATGCAATGGAATCAACCTGAGTGGAATGGAATGGAATGGAATGGAATGGAATGGAATGGAATGGAATGGAATGGAACGGAATGAAATGGAACTGAATGGAATGGAATCAACGTGAGTGGAATGGAATGGAATAGAATTGAAAGGAATGGAACGATATGGATAGGAATGGAATAGAATTGAATGGAAAGGAATTGGATAACCGCGAGTGGAATGGAAAGGAATGGAATGGAATGGAACGGAATGGAATGGAATGGAATAGAATCAACCCGAGTGTAATTGAATGGAATGAATGGAATGGAAAGTAAATGATTTGTAAGCAATGGAATGGAATCAATAGGAAGGGAATGGAAAGAAATGAAACGGAACGAAATGGAATGGAACGAAATGGAATGGAATGGAATGGAATGGAATGGAACGGAACGGAATGGAATGGAATGGAATGGAATGCAATCAACCCGAGTGGAATGGAATGGAATAGAATGAATTGGAATGGAATCAACACGAATGGAATGCAATGGAATTGAATGGAATAGAATGGAATGTAATGCAATAGAATGGAATGGAATGGAATGGAATCAACCCGACTAGAATGGAATGGAATGGAATGGAATGGAATGGAATGGAATGGAATGGAATGGAATGGAATGGAATGGAATAGAGTGGAATGGAATGAAATGGAACGGAATGGAATGGAATCAACCCGAGTGGAATGGAAAGGAATGAAATGTAACAGAATGGAATGGAATCAACGTGAGTGGAATGGAATGGAATGGAATTGATTGGATAGGAAAGGAATAGAATGGAATGGAAAGGAATTTAATAAAAGCGAGTGGAATGGAATGGAATGGAATGGAATGGAATGGAATGGAATGGAATGGAATGAAATGGAATGGAATGCAATACAATGGAACTGAATTGAATGGAATCAACACGAATGGAATGGAATGGAATGGAATGGAATGGAATGGAATGGAATGGAATGGAATGGAATGGAATGAACCCGAGTGGAATGGAATGGAATGGAAAGAAACTTAAAGGAATGTAAGGGAAAGGAATGGAATGGAAACAACCCGAGTGGAATGGAATGCAATGGAATAGAACGGAATGGAATTGACCTGAGTGCAACGAAAGGGAATGGAATGGAGTGCAATGGAATGGATTCGAATGGAATGGAATCAACCTGAATTTAATGAAAAGGAAAGGAATGGAATGGAATGGAATAGAATGGAATGGAATTGAATCAACCCGAGTGAAATGGAATGGAATTGAATGGAATTTATTGGAATGGAATGGAATGGAATGGAATTTAATCAACCTCAGTAGAACGGAATGGAATGGAATGAAATGGAATGGAATGGAATCAACCTGAGTGGAATGATATGGAATGGAATGGAATGGAATGGAATCAACCCGAGTGGAATGGAATAGAATGGAATGGAATGGAATGGAATGGAATGGAATGGAATGGAATGGAATGGAATGGAATGGAATCAACCCGAGTGGAATGGAATGGAAAGAAACTTAAAGGAATGTAAGGGAAAGGGATGGAATGGAAACAACCCGAGTGGAATGGAATGCAATGGAATAGAACGGAATAGAATTGACCTGAGTGCAACGAAAGGGAATGGAATGGAGTGCAATGGAATGGATTCGAATGGAATGGAATCAACCTGAATTTAATGAAAAGGAAAGGAATGGAATGGAATGGAATGGAATGGAATTGAATTGAATCAACCCGAGTGAAATGGAATGGAATTGAATGGAATTTATTGGAATGGAATGGAATGAAATGGAATTTAATCAACCTCAGTAGAACGGAACGGAATGGAATGAAATGGAATGGAATGGAATCAACCCGAGTGGAATGATATGGAATGGAATGGAATGGAATGGAATGGAATGGAATGGAATGGAATGGAATGGAATCTACCTGTGTGCAATGGAATGGAATGGAATGGAATGGAAAGGAGTGGAATTGTATGGAATCAACCCGAGTGGAAAGGAATGGAATAGAAGGAAATGGAATGGAATGGAATGGAATCAACCCGAGTTGAAAGGAATGGAATGCAATGGAATGGAAGGGAGTGGAATGGAATTTTATCATCACGAGTGGAATGGAATGGAATGGAAGAAAGGAAATGCAATGGAATGGAATCAACCCGAGTGGAATGGAATGGAATAGAATGGAATGGAATGCAACGGAATGGAATGAAATGGAATGGAATGCAATAGAATGGAATGGAATGGAATGGAATCAACACGAATGGAATGGAATGGAATGGAATGGAATGGAATGGAATGGAATGGAATGGAATGGAATGGAATGGAATGGAATGGGATGGAATGGAATGAGGGAATGTCATTGAGCAATGAAGGAATGTCATCCTTACCCAGATGCCAGCCACCTATCTCACATCCAGGACAGAGTCTCCATCTCCCCTCCAGCAAATATGCATGTATGTGGGCATGGTGGCACGCCCCTGTGATCCCAGCTACTCCATAGGCTGAGGTGGGAGAATCGCTTGTGCTTGAGAATTCAAGTTTTCAATGAGCCATGATCACACCACTGCACTTCATGTTGGGTAACCGAGTGAGACCCTGTGATTTTTCCCCTACATTTTACAGAATTTTTTTTTTTTTTTGCCTCTTCCTTCCATTAATTTGCGTTTTGTCCGTTCATTTTCTGCAAACCTTTAGAGGGCAAATGAGAAGTTTCCCTTTTTCTCTCTAAATGAGTAAGTTCCTCAAAATTTGGGCCCCTGAATAGGCAACAGGAGGGTGTGTGCAGGGGCTCCGCCACAGTGATTTGACCACTCCCAGTCAGGCATCAGTAATACTCCCCAGAACCCCAGGCTGAAGCCCACTGATGCTGATGTAGTTCAATCCACTTCCTCTGCTACTGCACCAGGCTGATATGCCTTGGCCCCTGTTAAAGGTGTGAGATATAATGGGTGCAAATCTGTGTTCAGTTTTATCCAAATCCAAGTGCTTTCCTACTTTTTCAACTTCCCTGTTTTTCTATTTAACACTTATTGCTCACTCCGTAAGACAGTAGAGACGGCATTCTCCTCTAGTTATCCTCAGGGAGAGCTGGCTGAGGACAATTAGTAACACCTTGGTTGTGAATGCCAAATAGATTTTGTAATTTCATGTCAGATGCAAGATCCTAATAGTAAAATTATTTTATTACAATTGTCTCTCGCTGATAGAAAAAGGGAGTAATTGAAATTCCAAAAGTTGGTTTTAAAAGTAAAAAGCAAATCCTGAAAGATGTAGTATCCTAAAGATGTAGTATTTTCCATGAATCACTGGGAAAGTAAAGGATGATAAAAACCTTTTTGTTCCCCATAGTGCAGAATTCAACACTGGACAGACTGCAGGAATGGGAGCATTCGGGGAATACAGGAGAGGTCAGTTATTGTTTAACTAAACTGCCTTGGGTTATGGTGGGTGGGATGCGGTTGGTGGTGGTGATGGCAGTTGATGTGGACCCACAAAGGAGCCAAATATGATACTTGTGAAGAACCACAGAGTTGAAGGCTCTGCTGCCTGGCTTCCTGGGTGGAGCCTGTGCCACTGGAAGTCTCACAGGAAAGTAAAGTCGTGAGTAGTGCTTTAGGTGTGTAATCACCAAAGATTTAGTGAAGTCCCTGTGCAAGGAGACCTGAGGTAATGTCACTCAGTCCTAAGTCAAATCCCAACAGCAAAGCAGAGCTTCTGAAACTCATTCTGCCCCTAGAGGAGGTTTAGCAGAGACCACTGGTTCGGTCTGGAGATGTCACAACCACTGACATGCAGAGCACAAGGCCAGGCAGGGTCTACACTTGCAGGGGATCAGTGTGGTTCGAGGTCAATGTGCACGATTCAGACATGTATTCAGGATGCTCTGTGCATCTTTGGGGATTTGGAAGAACATGCTGAGTCCGTGGGAGTTTTATGTTCTTCTAGCCCATCTCCTACAGCCTGCCTGATGATTCAGACCTCAGCAAATGCCCTACGGAGGACACGGGCCATGTATAGAGGCTGCTCTGTGCAACTCCTGATGGTCAATCTGATTCTCCTTTCTGAGGAGAGTTCCTCTGCTTGTGCCAAGAGAGAGACTGTGTCCACATGCAAACTTGGCAGATATGGCAGGAGGACAAAGAGTCAGGCCAGCATCAGCTAAACTAGAAGGGATGCTTTTCACTTTGGAATTTTAGGTCACTTAGTTCTCATTTCTTCTACTGTTCTCTGATGTTATTAATATAAACTTTTGTATTGTTTTCTCTCCAGGTTCTTGCAGTGGTTCTTTAGCCTTTCAACCCTTACATCGTTGCCCCAAAGTAGGAAGATTCCTTTTGAAACTTACTGGTCATTTAGAAATGACAATTTGGGTACCAAATTATCACAAAAAATAAAAGGTTTTGAAATAAGTAAATGTATATATGTATATATATGTATATATATGTGTGTATATATATGTGTGTGTGCATATATATATATATTTTGTTTTGTTTTGTTTTGTTTTGTTTTCTCTTATCTTGAGACTGAGTCTTGCTCTGTCACCCAGGCTGGAGTGCAGTGGCGTGATCTCGGCTCACTGCAAACTCCACCTCCCGGGTTCAAGCCATTCTCCTTCCTCAGCCTCCTGAGTAGCTGGGACTACAGGTGTCCGCCACTGTGCCCGGCTAATTTTTTGTATTTTTAGTAGAGACGGGGTTTCACCATGGTCTCGATCTCCTGACCTCATGATCCACCCGTCTTGACCTCCCAAAGTGCTGGGATTACTGGCGTGAGCCACCGCGCCCGGCCTGCATGGTGTCACTTAAAATAATTCTTCAGAAATATTTATGAACGAATCATGGGCAAATCAGTTCCATTTCATGAGGTGATATAATCAACACATAGAAGTGTTTGCACCCATAGGACAAAATACCTTTGTTTCTGGTTAAAATAATCAAACCCATCAGAAATGATTGTCTATTCTAGGATGATCCACACCATGGTAAGTGAAGTTAAAACAGTATTCCCCAGGAGAAAAATCAAAAAATAAATAAATAATGAAGGCATGGTATATAGAAAGAATCTGTCACACATACAAAGATAGACAAGTCTTCAGAGGACTTTTCTACACATATTCATGAGTGAGAACACACATCCAACCAAAAATACGTTGATTTCACTTCCACAATCAGCAGTGTGGAGACTAAAGATAGTACAATTAAAATTACATTCTTAACCCAAAAGTCCAAAAACAAAGAATAGATAGTTTACAGAAAAGAGTTTGTAAAGCACAGAATGACAGGTCTACAGAAGGTATTCACAAGTGAGAAAACACATCTAACCAAAATTCTAGGGATTTCACCATCACAAACACCACTTTGGAGCCTGGAAATGCTGCACAGCCTCCTGTGAGCAGGACACTCACCGGGTCCCTGAACAGTGTGATGGCCCCAAACACAAACCTCAAAGTAAGTTCAGCCTCTCAGTGTGGCAGGAGCAGGTGCGGTGCCAGGGGATGTGTCTCCAGCAGTTGGAGTCAGGTGGGCTCAGGGAGATGACTGGAAAGCCTTTGAGGAAGGAAGAGGCCATGAGGCCTTAGTCATAGGCACAGGCTCCTCTTCTGTGTGAACAGGGCCAGGGTCCTCCAGGACACCTTCCAAAGCCTCCTCTTTCCTCCACATGTAGGGCGCTGAAGCCCCACCAACCCTCCAGGGTTTGCTGCCACATCATCCCTGGAGCAGCCCCTAAGGTTCCCTGCTGTTCTCATGGCTGTAGGGATGCTCAGTCATGTCACTGTAAGGGAACCCTAGTGTGTCCTGTCCTCACCTGCTGCCACTGATGACCTTCATAGCGAGTCTCCATGCCTTTGCCAAGTGACCCCACTCTCACCAACCATCAGGAGGCTGGAAAATGGCCTGCACTCCATGATGTTCGGCTTATGAGTAAGTCAGGGCTCAGGGCAGTCTCATGTTTGTGCAGCTCATAATAATATCACACAGGAATCCTATTTTGACTTTCCCTGACTCCTCATTCTCTCTGAGCAGTAACTCACTCTGCTCGTCCACTCTAAGACTTTCTTCTTGTGCAGCTGCTAATGGTGTTTTCATTTGGAGACTGATATGACTGTATTGGTGGAATACTAGATGTGTGCTTGTCACATCCTCACATTTCTAAGAATAAAAGACCCTTCTTTTGAGTGGCATTTATTCTTTTTTTCCTAGTTTGTCAGGATTACATTTCCAGTGATTGATGTGAAAACTTCTTTGCTAAAACACATTCATAATGCTATAAATTAACTGCATTTTTTTGAATCTCATAAATTTGGATATGTGATGTTTACTTTCAGATCCAAGTACTTTTTAATTTCCCTTTTTGTTGCTTCTTTGCCCCAAACTACATATAGTGGTACTTTACATATTTTCCAAATATTTAGATTCTTTTTGGCAAATTTTTAAAAAATTAAATTTAGAATTTCAGTGGCTTTATTGGTAAGAGTTGTTTTTGGTTACACTGATGAATTGTATAGTAGTGAACTCTGGGCTTTAGCTACCCATCACCCGAACAGTGTACCTTGTGCCCAATAGGTAATTTTTCATTCCTCCTCCTTCTCCCACCAACCCCATTCTGATAACTTTCTGTTTCTGATTTCTAATACAATCCCCTCAGTTATGAATAATTTATTTTTTTGATTTAATCAGCTTGGTTTTTTTGAAATATCTTGTTGCCCAAAATATAGTGTATCATTAGCCAATGTTTTGAAAGACCATGGAATCTGCTGTGGTTTGGTGGAGTGTTCTCTAAGTATCAGCCTTGTCCAGATGGTTGATAGCATTGTTGAAGTCGTTTGCATCCGCAGTGGCCCAAGAGGCTGGGCCGTTTGCACTTCAACCTGGATCTGCTGCAGAGCCCTTTTCTATCCTGAGTCCCACTCACGACTGGCTGACTTTCATGTCACCTGCTGGGCCAAACCTGTATTCCAAGGGGTAGAATATGTAGCCTCCAGAAACCAAAGAAGTCCTATTTGTGGCTTCCTTCTTTGAAAGACAAAGACACATATTAACAACACTGGAATAAAATAAATATTCCTGTAATCCTGAACTCTGATTCACTCCGTCTTTATGTTACACACATTACAAAGGCCTTATTAATGGGGACACCATTTAGTGGCATTTGATGGCAGCAGTAGAGACGAATGCCCAGATTCAAGGTGCAGGGCAATACCAGCCAGGGGAAATCAGCCTCTCAACCACAGCCACAATATGACTAGGCAGCCACAAAGAGTTCCCAAGTAATTTTCTGATCATTGACCCGGTCGTGGTGCAGTATCTGGACTTGCTCTCTAATGAGGAAAATTTAATGTTGTGATGTCCTTGATTCTACTGCACCAACATTCATCTGGTCTGTTTGTCTGTCAGCCACTCACAAGGACACTCAAGTCAAATTCTCTAAATATATAATTGTCTTCCTTCAAATTCTAGAGAAAAGGTTGATTTTAGATTTGCCTAGCAAATTAAATATTTTAATGCTATTAATAGGATCATTTAAATGGTATCCTTCTCTTAGTCTCTCTGCAAAGGTTAACCTGGGGCAAATTTCATAATAGGTTTTTCTTTATTTTCATTTTCCTCTATAATTTCTGAGTAAGATGACCTACTCTGAGAAAACCTATGAAGTTAGTTTTAACCCAAAACAAAATCATTATTTTGAAATTTAATACCATCACAAGCCAGAGACAAAAGATATTACTCTTGCTTTATGGCTTATTAGGACTATTAATGACTAGTAAGTATTTGCTTTAATCTTCCATAAGTCAATAGGTTTCTTCCTTTTATTTTGCCTTATACAAATAATTGTATAATAGTTTTCCTGTTATAACAGATTTGTGTACCTTCTTATTTTCAGTATTAATTTTTGCCTAGGACTGCTAGGATTCCAGAATACAAAAGAAACCATTTTCTAGGTTGAGGATGTTTCTAATTTACTAAGGTAAGACTATTTACTATGAGTAAGATCCAGCTAAATCAGTAGCTAGCAGGAAATTATGCCTCTAGTCCTCTGTTAAACATGATAGTTTTATTCTTGACTGCTCCTGGGAAGTCAGAATTTATTTCATTTTATTACTGATGCTTCATTTTTTTTTTTTTTTGCTGGTAGATATTTTAGAAGAGTTAATATCTAGAAGTATTCCAACATAAGGGCAACTGGCTCTTCACAGAGCATTTACACTTGGGTGATCCTTAGCTCCTGCCCAAGAATCACCAAGTTATAATGAAGTTCACTGCTGTGATGTGAAGCTGCTGCTTCCAGAAGGGCAGAGTCACTATTTCCAGTTGTCAATGCAGAGGCTGTATTATTATTATTAATTATTAATAGTATTATTATAAGACAAGAAATGAGCACTAAATGCTTTATTCAGCTCTTGTCTGTTTCCTTTTCTGTACTTTTGATTTTTGCTAACAGGAGGTGAAAAGAAGCAGTTAAAGGAAAAATTCAGCTGTCTTTAGAACTCAGTTTGATTGATTTGAACCATAATTTTTCTCTAGAGTCTTAAACATTATAAATTATAATTTATATAAACATTTGCTTGATTCTTAAAATTGTTTAACATGAAAAAAACGATGTGAGAACTCACAAATTCTATTTTCATTTTTTCTACAGGTAAACTATCTTATCTAAGTTACAAGTAAATAAGTTATTGCACTTTGTTTTCTTGTTATATTCATTGAAGTTCTTATCTAAGTTACAAGAAATAAGTTATTCCACTTTATTTTCTTGTTATATTCATAGAAGTTCTTATATCAACTGCAGCTTCTACTACAGTTTAAATGGCTAGAATCCCCAATTTAGTCTCTAAAAACTTCTTGGGATCTTCATTTCCCATCTCTCAAGTAAACCAGGTTTTACTATAAGGCCTCAAGGCTAACTTCACATTCAAAGAGTAGAAAAATTATACTAACTTCTCAGGCAAGCTATGGTTTTATAGAGTTTTACTTTTGAGGACGGAGACCCCTTTCTTCAAGGATGTGAATTCGAGGGGAACTTATGAGACACAGAATGCTCAGGAAGAAAACAGACTCATAACTTCACTTTGTGCAGTTGGTGGGTGTGGTGGATTCTCCAGAGATATTAACAAGCACAGAGGAGAAGCCCACCACTTAATCCCACAGCTGTGTGGATAGTTTCATAGGATTTCTGAAAACCTTTTCCAAGAAAAAGTAGAGACCAGAATTGAAACATTTGGAAACAGGTTCAGATGAGACAGATCTAGAACAGGGTCCGAAGATTCAGAAAAGTCTGATATGGAAACAATGCTGTTTCTTTCAATGTTTGGAGAGAGAGATTCTCAGAAGCAGAAGACACACATTCAAGGAGCCTACATTCCCTGTGCTCTCTCCCTGTGTTCCAGAATATTTATCCATGAATCTCTGTTCCAGCGAGGGACAATTTCAGTTAGTGAGACAACGCAGACGGCTTCATTCCCAGGTGCCTGGGAGCCAGGAATCCATTCACAGGACCTGTAGCTTCACAGATGGAAGCTCCATTTGTGGGTGACTTGGTCTTAATTCTCATCTAAGGACAAACTCTCACCTTTAATTTAAAGAAGGTTCATTGATGCTCAGGTAGGGAACAGGCCTCTGTGTGTCTCAGCCTCATCCATAACAGTGTGGGTTTGCACTGTCTGGACTAATACAGTCTGTAGAACAAAGTCTACACGATGTGCAACAGGGATCTATAAATGAGAATGCTATGTTGTTTATTTCAAAACTGTGGGCTTATTTCTCAATGGCCTGTGCCAAACTCAAATTTTAAAACGTAATTGTTTTAAAAACCACAAAAATAAGAATAGTTTTAACCTTTTAGAAAATACTTAATCTACATATCCAGAAAGCCTGACCCACATCTGCTAGCAGTAGGTAAGACAAGCCCCGGTTTATGAAAACCTTAAACTTAATACTGGTCTCTGTAGCTCTCTGACACAGAAACTCCCCACTGTGCTGCTGTGTGGCATCCCCTAAATGCATATCCCTTCTACAGTGTCCTGCACATTTTGAGAAACAACCCTGGCACCTGATTCTCTGGACTACCACCTGCTGTGAGGGACTTCTTGCTGTAAACCTGTCAAAGCTTCACCCAATAGACTAGGTCACATGTGCTACTGCTGTCTGTGGTCATCTGTTTTTCCTTGGTCAGCCAACAAATCCCTCAACCCCCCTACAAACAGGATCACAGTGTCCACCCCATAAACACTGATTCCCGGTAATGAACACAAACAATTCCACTTCCAAGACTCTCTTCTCAAGTCATATGAGTAATACAGTTCTTTTCAATTACATGGATCCCAAACTAACCAATCAGGAAAAGGAGACACAGCCACACTAAACCCTGCCTGTAGAAATCCTCCCTCATTCAGATGACCATGATTCAGATGAGAGACACATAGAGGCCTGCTCCCACCCTGGTTCAAATGTAGGTTGCTCTTCCATCTTGTCTGTGTCCACTGTAGAGTGACCAGCTTTGTCTGCTGCTGTGAAAGCCCTGGTAGGATGCATCAACAGATAAGAGAGGGAGGATTCTGGTTAGAATTAGTAATAGTGTTCTTTAAGTCTACAGTTTAAATCGGGTAATTTCAAAGGCTTTTTCTGACTAAAAAAGGATTTGTCCAAGTTTTTACATTTTCCAGATATGTAAGGCGACAAATCATGAGATTTTTGTTAAAAATCCCAGGGGTAGTCTTTTTAATGGTTCATTCATTCTCATAGAAAACAGCAATGCTCTCCTAAATTCAAGCAATCTAAATACTTTGTGAAAATAACATTTTCAAGAATTGGCTTACAGTAAAAGAAAACAGGGCAATTTTTTTTACTGTTAATCACTTTCCTGCAATTCAAATCTTTGCATTAGATAATGGATAAAACTGATTATTGATTTAACACCCTTTCAGAATAATTATTTAAAACTAACAATAAAATGGACCATTTTGTTCTATTTTAGTTAGGCTGTTTATGTCTCCTTCTTCCATTCCTTCAGCTTCAGATGTTTCTGACTTTTTTTCACTACCATGGTTAAGAGTCTGACCTTTTCAACACTAAGAAGCAGATCAGAATTTGCTGACATCATCAGAAAAAAAGTCGGGTACCCAAAATTTGCAACATGTAATAAGAGAAAAGAATAAATAAAATTTTAACAGTGAAATATGAGACTTTTATTTCAATACCTCCTCGTAGCTACTGTTTAATATCATCAGCCCATATTATTGTCATGGAGTTCAACATTTGAAGGTCAATATCATTTTTAATCAAGTATGTTTTCCGATCTTATTAAAAAATGATATTTTGGTAGATTTCCCAGAAGATATTCAGATCAAGCTTTCTTTGCAGTCTTACCTACAATGGCATTTATTTGTGTTCTTGGGCAATTAAGTATGGCTTTGTGTTAAATTACCCAAGCTTACATCACACTACAAGCTAGTCCTTCATTGTTACTGGATTATTATTTTTTTTTCAGAAATGTGACTGTCCTTGTGAAACTATTTATTGTTGGCACCATTATTCAGGAGCTGTTCAATGGAATGTTAAGCACATCGATGACAAATAAAGAACAGTGTGGTTGTTTTTCTGTTTAATGATCAGTTGTATGGTAGGTTCACATCCCTAAGCTGTGAGCATTTTTACATAAAGTCAAGAAAATATCAGTTACAAGTACAGGTTACCCAGAGATGTAAAACTGTGAATGCAGTTCTTGCTCTTTATACACAGAGAATTTCCTTTGGATCTGTGGACTCGTGGCTGTGGCTGCACCACATCCAGGCTGGGGGAGACTCACGTCTCACTCAGAGTTGACGAGAACCTGGAAGCCCTGACAGGACCTGATTCCACATGACCAGGGAGACTGTGTGGGAAGAGCTTTTCTAATCATCACTTGAAAAAACATCATGCAAAGTTATTTCTTATTTGTTCTGTATCATTAATCTAGAAGATTCTTCCCTTAAGACAGAGTCCTCTGGGCCAGGCACAATGGCTCACACCTGTAATCCCACTACCTTAGGGGCCAAGGCAGGCAGATCTCCTGAGGTCAGGAGTTCAAGACAAGCCCAGACAACTTGGTGAATGAAACCCCATCTCTACTAAAAACAAAAACAGAAACAACAAAAAAGAAAGAGCCCTCTGGTTAACCTTGTATGTGTGAGACGATTATGATGAGATAGATCCCAGATTGAACAACTGGTCACCAGGAATTTTAAATTTGCTGCTGGAGGCACAAAATTTTGTCTCTCTTTCCTTTTTCTTACACTGGGCTCTTGGCTCTAAATGTAGAGGCTCACATCATTCTCCCTGTGAGGCGCTTGGACAGAGAGCTCTTATGCTGTTCACTCACCAGGTGCCAAGGCAGAGTAGATTCTAATATTTGAGTTGAACATTCTTGAACAGTTATCCTGGAAACAGTAGATACCAGACAGCCCTTGAACTGGCTCCAGGCCGCTTTTTATTTGCAGGCTCTCAGTTCAGCAGTGCTTGTGGGGATGGGCCTGTTTCATACTCTAGATTGACTGGGAGGGAATCAAGCCAGATGGCATTCACCTCCCAGAGATGTATCCTAGACACACATTTCCACATTGTCAGGGTTCTGGTGCTTTCTTACAG
This sequence comes from Homo sapiens, assembly GCF_000001405.40. NCBI lineage: Eukaryota > Metazoa > Chordata > Mammalia > Primates > Hominidae > Homo > Homo sapiens. Next base: position 439,975 of record NW_012132915.1, on the reverse strand, counting down.
TCATGCCCTACACAGTGTGTCCCTACAAAAGGTCCGAACTTTCACCTTCAGATCCTTCTTCCCTTGATTGTGGGCAAACTTGGCTGAATCTAGTTCTGTTTTATTCCAAAGGACAATTTATATCACATTGTTCACAGAAGAGACATTCCCCCTGCCCCGTCAACCTTTTCCACACCACTGCACCCACCAGGTGATTTGCATATTGTCCCCTAGGGTGGACCTTCCCTTGTGAGTCTGAGATAAAAGCTCAGCTCTATCCTTGCCTTGACTGATCAGGACTCCTCAGTTCACCTTCTCACCATGAGGCTCCCTGCTCAGCTCCTGGGGCTGCTAATGCTCTGGGTCCCTGGTAAGGACAGAAAGAGATGAGGGAGGACAACTGGGTGGGAGGTGAGCTCTGTGGGCTCCACAGCTTCACATGTTTATTCCAATAATGTGATAGAGGCACATGGTCTATGCTCCAGGGAATGGAATTCAGGTTTGTCTTATGAATAATCAGGATTCACCTCCAGGGAACGATGACCAGTGCTCTGATTAAGAACTTGAAAAAAAAGAGTTCCCTTGTGGCTAATAAATAATGGGTCTATTTTAGAAAGTCTACTTTTCATGATATAAATCAAAACTTTAAAAATGTAACTGTAAATTTATATCACAAGAGAAATTATGAAAGTTGCTCATAATGTATCTATATAAACTTGCACTTCTCTGTTATTATTTCAGGATCCAGTGAGGATATTGTGATGACCCAGACTCCACTCTCCCTGCCCGTCACCCCTGGAGAGCCGGCCTCCATCTCCTGCAGGTCTAGTCAGAGCCTCTTGGATAGTGATGATGGAAACACCTATTTGGACTGGTACCTGCAGAAGCCAGGGCAGTCTCCACAGCTCCTGATCTATACGCTTTCCTATCGGGCCTCTGGAGTCCCAGACAGGTTCAGTGGCAGTGGGTCAGGCACTGATTTCACACTGAAAATCAGCAGGGTGGAGGCTGAGGATGTTGGAGTTTATTACTGCATGCAACGTATAGAGTTTCCTTCCACAGTGGTACAGCCCTGAACAGAAACCTCCCTGCTGTGGTGCCCCAGCTGCTCACATGCACTGCTTGTCTGGGGAGCAGGTCAGCAGCGTCTCTGAGTCTGCAAAAGAGGAGGCTGTTGGAGAATACAGGGCAGGGTTTGCTTCTGAGGACTCTGCCTGGGACTACAGGTGCATGCCACTAAACATGGCTAATTTTTCTATTTTTTTGTAGAGTCGGTGCTTCACCATGTTGCCCAGCCTGTTGTCAAAATCATGGGCTCAAGCCACCCACCTGACTTGGCCTCCCAACGTGCTGGCAGTACAGTGTGAGCCACTGTGGCAGGTCAGCACCCCTGTTTATGTTCCTGTCACCTGCCACAGCCTTGACTCTCATAACCAACAGGAAAATGAGGAGGTTCTAGGGCCCTGTGAGTAAAAAACTGGGATGATAGGGAAAGGAGAATGGAATCTCATCTGAATCCTCCTTCCTTGCCTACATTTGTTTAAATTTATTGAGCAAAAGGGCCAGACTACTGATTATTTCTGGCAAAACATGTTGAGTACATTTTAGGGTTTAACAGTTTTGGGTACCTTTCAAAGAAAATATTTGGTTATATGTAAAATTGGTATTTTCCCACTTTTTAAATTCCTACTTCTCCTGTTTGCCATTCTTCTCCACTCCATGAGACAGTAGAGACAGGATTATTCACTAATTCTCCTCTGGCGGAGCTGGCTGAGGACAATCAGTAAGATCTTGGTTGTGAGTGTCAAATAGATTTTGTAATTTCATAGCAGACGCAAGTTCCTAATACTAAAACTCTTTGATTACAATTACCTCTTGCTGATAGAAAAAGGGAGTTCTTGAAATTTTGAAAGTTGGTTTTAAAAATAAAATGCATACACTGGAAGATGCAGTATACTAAAGATGTAGTATTTTCCAGGGATCACTGAGAAAATACAGGATGAGGTAAACAGTTTTATTTTCCAAAGTTCAGAATTTGAGATTGGGCAGACTGCAGGAATGGGAGCATGAAGAGAACATAAGAGAGATCAGCTATTGTTCAATTACACTGCCCTTGATTATGGTGGGTGGGGATGTGGCTGGTGGTGGTGATGGCAGTTGATGATGTGGATCCAAAAAGGGGCCAAATGTGTTACTTGTGAAGAACCACAGAGTTGAAAGCACTGCTGCATGGCTTCCTGGGTGGAGCCAAGTCTTCGCACTTTCCAAACTTTCTCTCTCCTTTATTACTCACATGAAACTGCCCTCTCTAGTATTATGGTGGAAAAAGCATTCTGCACCAGCTATTTTCATGGGAGTATGGCCAAGGATAATTATTTTTACTACTTATGGATTTTTAAAATCCAGGACAGATATAAATCCTAATACCAAAATAGTTTGATTTGCCTCAGTTGCCTTTTGCTGACTGAAAATAGAGTTCTTCCAATTCCAAAAGTGGGCTTTGAAAATAGACAAAATAATTCAGATGGAGAACATAAAGTTTACATAATGTACCACAGGAACAATGCAGAATTATATGAGATTTTTATTTCCTTCTCAAATTCTTAGAATTTTAAAAATATTTTACTGACATAGCATTTTAAAGAGAAAATTTTTAGTGCTATGTTGTCATAAGAAAATGATTCAAAGAATGAATAAATGCATTATTTTTATATGATACTATTCCTGAAAATAAATCTGAATCCTCTATTTTAGTTGTTAATGCATAGAAAAATTATGCTCTTAATATATTCCATTGACAATAGTGCTCTAAATTTATATGCTTCCTTAATTTGAGGGCTACAGTCTGATAAATATCTATCTACATTTTGTCATGCAACTTTTAAACCTAACAGAAATGCTTTCGTTAAAAAAGCAACAGTGCTTTCTCTACCATAATGCTAGAGAGGGCAGTTTCGTGTGAGTGGTAAAGGAGAAAGTTTGGAAAGTGGGAAGACAGCAATTTTGCAATATGACCAAGTGTTATCATGCAAAAAACTATCTCCAAACCAGTCATTTCTAACATGTATTTCACTTGTGTTACCACTAATCTGCATCCATGATCTGATCATTCTGCCAAATAAATTTACACGAACCCGAGTAATGAGTGATGTCTGTCACATGTGATAACACGGTGTAGAGACACAAAAGACTGAATCAACAGAACAAGATCCTGATACAGGCTAAGGGTTTAAATAATACTTGAGATGATTTATTTCAAGATAACAGATTCCATAGGAAGTGCAATTAAAATTCCAATGTGTCATTTCTGTTAGGTTTAAAAGTTGCGTGGCAAAATGTACATAGATATTTATTAGACCGGAGCTCTCAAACTAAGAAATATGAGACACTCAATATGTTATTGAAAAATACTAATTAATGCATCATTGACCCTATATTTTATTACATAATGCAGTAAAAGAAAATAAAATGTAAGTAGCAAGAGCACGAGGTAAGCAATGCCATCGTCACCTTTAGCCCTCCTGGGATTGACAGCACCTAGTCACCTTGAGTTTCTGCTTTTCTGCGAGACAGGAGATAAAATGAAAACCCATTCAAGGTAGTTAGTTATATTTTGGAGAAAGCAAACAAAGATACCACCTACATGATGCTGATATCCCAAAGGCATATATTCTCAAGTCAAAATAGTGAAAAGTATATGATCCCCAAAACTGAAAGGGGAGAGATACAAGGAGAATCAGAGCATGATCAAATTTAATTACAAAGAAGCCTCATAATATGGTGAACTAAATGTAACAAGGTTTCTTTGTCTGTTGCCATGGCAGTGCAGAGGCAGGCAGGTGGCCTTGGTGGTGTAGGTGGCTCTGCTCCGTGAGGTCACTCCGGTGGGCAGGAGGCACGAACACCCTGAGAACACAGCCTTCCTCCTTCCTCACAGTCATTGCCTGCCCAGCCATCCTCAGCAGCATGAGGTGGGACAGAGTGGAGAGAAAGCTGTTTTCTTCTAAAGACTAAAAACAAAAACAGAAAAAAAAAAAACAAACCTGGAGCTTTCCATCAGTGACAAATGTACTTTTGACTCAATCACACATTTGAGAAGTTTTCCAGTGAGTGGATCTGCAGATAAACCCACATTCGTTGTTTGTTTGTTTTAATCTGAAAATGTGTTTACATGATTCTTGAAAATATTTTTTGACTGTAAACTTATATTTGTAGTAGCCTATTTGAAGTTATCATTTACTATTTCATAATTGCTACTAAAAAGTTATTGTTAAAAAAATCTGTGACTCTAACTGTTCTTGTTTGAAAGGAATACGTCTTTTTAAGACACTCAGACTCCTTTTAAGCTCCTCATTTGGCCCTCCTTTGTTTCTGATTCAATGTATTGTTTAATTTGTTATTTATGACTAATTAATCTATTAATTAATTTTCACAATCACAGAATCAAATGTCCTATAAGTTGCTATGTCAAAGACCTGCCTGAAGATGGCACACATGCTCCACAATGAACAAAGGACAGCACCATGGTCTCAGGAACACTGGGGAAGTAGGAGTGCTGGTGTCCCATTATCAACAGGGAGCCCTAGAGTTAGAGTCAAATCTTCCCTGTGACCTGGGCACCTGGGAGGAGCCACCCGTGTGCTGAGCTGTGGGAACCTGCCCCATGCCCTGAGACTGGAAGCACGGCCTTGGCTGTGTCCCACCTGCTATGGACTGAATTGTGCCCTCAGATTCATGTTGAAACCCTAATTTTCAATGTGACTGTAGAAATCAGAACCTCTAAAGATGTAATTGAGGTCATGGCAGGGGGTGTCCCTGATCCAGTAGGATTCATGATTTTGTAGGATCCAGAGACCTCTCCTTTTTCTTCTCTCTCTCTAACCGCCTTCCCCTCCATGGAAAGGCTGTGTGAAGACATGGTGAGAAGGTGGCACCTACAAACCAGGAATAAGGTCTTTAGCAGAAAACAAACTCTGCTGAACGTCGATCTGGGATATTCCAGGCACCAGAAATGTGAAAATTAAATTCTGTGGTTTAGCCATCCAGCCCCGTGTTACGGTGTGGCAGCGGAAGCTGACTCATCCATCTTCCCCACCCTCTGTGAGCAGATCAGCTTCAGGAGGCCCTCGTGGACATGGGGTCCCAGCTTTGCTCCTCTTCCTCCTGTTTTTCCAACTCTCTGGTGAAGAGGGAGGACTCAAGCTTCATCATCAGTTTCTGTGCATTAAACATGAATGTTTCCTTCAAGATGAAGTTTTTAGCCCATTTTGCTTTCTCAGAATTTAATCAAACTGAATGAAGTATGTACTTACAATTAATATTTGGGGATGTTCATATTTGTTCCCCCCTTATATGACAGTTGGGATATTGTGTGGTGCTCATCTCCAGGCCCCTCCCTGTGTTCCAGGAGACAGGGTCACTGTCACCAGCAGAGCCAGTCAGGGAAATAACAGTGTCTAGCCTAGCTCCTTGTGAAATAAGGGCTGACACTGAGCTCCTGCTGGCTCCCACTGCTCCCTGGACACGATGCCTGCCTGGGTCAAGGGGGTGAGTCTGGACAGACGTCACTCTGGCCATCAGTAGCCTAACTACCTTCATGACCTCCCACTGTGAACAGAGTCCCGGAAGCTGCTGGAGCCATGAAAGTTGGACAGAGAAATCCCACATCACTGCAGTCAGAGGGGGGCTATGAAAAGACCGTGGGGGGGTTTCATACTATGACCACCCAGCACTGAGCCATGGCTGCCACTCTGTCTGATGGGAGCCCCCAGGGGAAGATCCACTCACACTGTGCTCTAGAGGTCGTTTTTGTCACCATCTTTGTTCTAGCTGGTTTGGGCCAGTTTCTGTAGTGCATCCTGTTTTGTCCAGATCCTGTTCTGGTCAGCGTTGTCATGACCAGTGTTGTGATCAGTGCTCAGAATACAAGCCCTGATGATCTCCTACCTTATACTCACTGCCTTCTGTGAACCAGATGTTCTGATAAGGGTCCTGTTGGATCCTACTCGAATCAGTTGCCACACAGACCCTCACTGAGGGCTGAGGGCCACAGACATCTGAAGATAAACAGAGGTCCAGAGAATGATAGCCTGTGACTGTCCTCTGTAAAGACAGCTGCTCCCCAGATGGCTGAGGGCTGTCTTTGGCTGTGTCCTTCTTTCTGAATGATAATGAGGGATAGAGCAGGTCTCTAAGCAAAACCTCAGCAAGGCCTTCCTATGTGTGCTGCTCTAACCTGGACATAGGTGGCACTGGATACACTTAGGGAAGTGAGGAAATTTATAGTCACAAGGAAGAGAGAGAAAGGAGGAGAGAGAGAGAAGAGCCTGTGATGTGTGTATAGTACCAACACTGATAGTATGTTCTTTAATGGTTTATTGTTGAGTATGATGCTCAAATGCTCAGGTTCTATTCCATGCAGCCGATACATATACCTTATATAGGAAAAGGGCCTTTGCATATATAAATTAAGGATTATGAATTGGGCAGATTATCCTGTATTGACCAGGTGGGCCCTAAATGGGCCTGTCTTTATTAAATGTCTGTCTATCTCTCTTATAAGGACATCACGATTGTCCTTATAAGATAGACATAGACAGACATTTTAACAAAGTCTGCAGAAGAGAAGGCAATTTGAAGACAGTGGCAGAGATTGAAGTGATGTGGACTCAAGCCAAAGAAAGTTGAAGCCACCAAAAGCTGGAAGAAGCCAAAAAGTAGACTCCCCGCTGGAGTCCCTGCAGAAGCTTTGATGACAGCCTGCTCTTGACCCCTGAAACTAGTGCTGGACTTATGGCCTCCAGAACTATAGGAGGAGAATATATTTCTGTTGCTTTAAGCCACCAAAGTTTTAGTAATTTGTTATAGCAGCCCAAGAATTCTAATAAAAATGGGGCTTAGGATAAGTCCAGCCTAAAGGTAGTATGATGATTTGCACTCTCCACCTTCATTTCTCTAATGTTACACATAATTGGTTAGAAGAAGATTTTTATGATGGAAACATTGTACAGGAAGCCACCCAGTATATACAGGGGCATCTGTTAGTTACAGAATAAATATTGACAGTTCTTAGTTGAAAATGACATCTGAGGCTGGGCTTGGTGGCTCACGCCTATAATCCCAGCACTTTGGGAGGCCAAGGCGGGTGGATCACAAGGTCAGGAGATGGAGATCATCCTGGCTAACACAATGAAAAATCTGAAAAATACAAAATTTTTCAGAAATTCTGAAAAATACAAAAAATTAGCCAGACATGGTGGCACGTGCCTGTAGTCCAAGCTACTCGGGAGGCTGAGACAGGAGAATCCCTTAAACTCGGGAGGTGGAGGTTGCAGTGAGCCGAGACCACACCACTGCACTCAGGCCTGGGCAAGAGAGCAAGACTCTGCCTCCAAAACAAACAAACAAACAAACAAACAAAAAACCCACCAAACCAGGACTTTTTGAACTCAGCTCTGAACCAAGTGGACCTAATAGACATCTACAGAACTCTCCATCCCAAATCAACAAAATATACATTCTTCTCAGCAGCACATCGCACTTATTCTAAAATTGACCACAAATGCCTTATGTAAATGACGAGTTGATGGGTACAGCAAACCCATATGGCACATGTACACCTATGTAACCTGCAAGTTGTGCACATGTACCCCAGAACTTAAAGTGTAATAATACAAAAAAATGACATGTGACTAGTAGTATCTTATCTAGAATCTTCATTCTAAGATACTCAAGGACGCATAAAAGGGACCCTAAGTAGTCTTTTCATACATATATATGCACATATATATGTATGAAAAGCAGTCTTTTCATCAACTAGAGAAACCCTCAGGACAGCCCTTAATACCCTTGGTGATACATTTCAGATGAGTAAACTGTTATCAGAGCCCGTAGTTGAAACTATTCAACAGAGATGGTTTGCCCAAAGATATGTGGTCAGCAATTGTCAGGGCTGAGCTTGGAACCCAGGTCTGCATAACCTTAAATATGTTGCTTCCACATGGCCACGTTTGTTTCATATACGATTGAATGGCCTTTAAATTCAAAGAAGAGACAAAGCCAGAAGAGTGGTGTGAAATTCTCAACACAAGCTCCCTGCTACCTCTACACCTTACCGTGATTACTCCAATTATAAACTCAGGCCCTCATGCAGTTTTGTCTACAAAGCAAAACTTCCTCAAAGTCTTTACAAATACTAAATGTCTTTCTTTCAGATTCGAGGGCAAGAGCACATCTTGCATTGCCCTGAACACTTTGCATCTTTTCTACCATTCTCATCTTTCTGTCCCAGTCCTTCCTTCTCAAATGATGTCCTGTAAATCTGATTTCTCCCCCAATATGAAAACAAATGAACAAATATTCCCCTACTTTTCTCATATCCAGAGGATACAAGAGTTAATCACATATCCAGAGAGTACGAGAGTTAATCAAGGGATTTATGCAAGAGTGTTTACACATAACAAGGATTCTGGTGCTAGCCATCTTCACAGTGAAATTTTCTGTGTGTCTTGCTAAAATTGACACTAAAAAATGACAAGATAAAAATATTTGGAAGAACAGAGGGCAACCATGCCCTTAAGGAGGTAAAAGACACCCCTGCCCCTTGTGTTAGTTTCCTACTCCTGCTGTAACAAGTTATCAGAATCTTACTAGTTTCATACAACACAAATTTATTATCATACAGTTCTGGCAGTGAGAAGTCTCACTGATTTATAATCAAGGTATCCGTAGTTCTATATTCCTTCTGGAAGTTCCAGGGGAGAGAATCTGATTCTCAGCTTTTCATCTTCAAAGATAGCCCCATGTTCCGGGCTGCCTGGCCCCTTTCTCCATCACTGAAGCATCCCTGTCCATTGTCCCTATTCCTCTCTGACTGTTACCCCCACTCCTCCCTATTATAAAGACCCTTCTGATGACGCTGTCTTTCCTAGATAATTCAGCTGTTTCCTAAATTTTCTGAATATCCCTATGCATGAAAAAAAAAGAATTGGCAAGTATTCAGACTATACTTTCCAAGAATGAGGGTTTGTCCACTGTTTTAGGTTGGATCTTTCAGGGACAATGATGCCCATGCAGGCAGCATATTTATAATGCACAGTAAACACTAGGAGGAAACAAGGCAGTGAGAGAGGAAAGAGAGCAGCGATACCGAAAATGTCCTCAGCGAGAAGCTACCACAGAGGATGAATGGAGATCAAGCCCACGTGGAAACATGGGAAAATGTCTCAGTATTTTTCCACCTAAGAAGGGAGGGAGATGGGGTATGTATACACCTCCCTGTCCTCACTGATTGAGGGCTTTCCGAGAGGATGCTCATTCCAGGTGCTGTGATAGGCCATGTGTACAGGCAGGGCTGCCTTCTCCAGCTTCAGATAGAGCAGTGAGGAAAAGATATGGCCATGGGGGGTCAGCAGAAGTACAGCAAAGGGAAAAGGGAAAGGGTAGCAAGAGTGACAACTATATTCACCCCCCCCACACACACACACACACACACGAAATTGTGTATTGCAATCCAGAACTGCTTCTCTCTGAACCTAAATCTTAGCAAGCAGTTTACCAGTAACTGCCCTTGAAATTCAGGCCCCTGGAAAGGAGCAGGGGGTTGTGTACAGGCTATACCACAGCAGTCTGCCCACCCTTAGTGATGCATGAGTAATGCTCCCTGGACTCCCCAGGTTCTAGTCTTCTCATGTCGATGTAGTTGATTCCACTTCCCTTGCTGCACAACCAGGCTGGGATGCCTGGGCAGAGGCAGACATGTGAGGTATAGGGGTTCAAATCTGTTTCCAAGTTTTATCCAGCTTCAAAGCATTTCTCCGTGTACATGAGCGGTGGCTTGACAGGAGATGGAGACTCTCTTTCCTGGATGTGAGGCAAGGAGGCAGGCGTCTGAGTCAGGATGATGTCCCTACTCACTGCTAAAGAGAAAAGTGGCTTTGATGGTGCAGGGCAGGGAAATGCACTGAGTGGTCGCCACCCTCACAGAAGAGAAAGTGTTCACTGACCTGGCCTTTCCCCAGGGCCTCTCCCTCCCATTGCTTTCCAGAAAGCCATGATTTTTGAGAGCCACACCTGAACACTCACAAACATTATGGTGGGAAAAGCAGATCAGAGCATTAGGCAAGTTGCATTACCTTGGCCTTCTTCCTTTGGAGACAATTGATGTGGGGTTCTAGATTGACCCAGAGTTTCAAGTTTATCCTGATTCAGGCTTCAACAGCTGGAGGAAGAAACAGAGATGTTTTTTGAAGTAAACAGATCTAGCATTACTAATCAACCCTTCATACTGATGACCTATGGGAAATAATACCCAAGGGCAGAAAAATGGGCAGAATAAGGGGAGCCCCAAACCAAGACGAAGCTGCTGCCCATTGAGACCCTGGGTATTACAGAGACCTATAGCTCTGGATAATGGAAGATCTATGAGTGGCACAGGCGCTGAGGAATCACAGCATCATTATCGTGCATCTGCAGGGAATTGCTTGTAAATATACTGGTAATTACAAATGTTTAAGGTCACTACAAATACTTTGGAGTGTATTAAATATGCTTCTGATAAAGACTGTTTTTCTCACATGAAACAATGGGAACCATGTGACAATCACAGAGGTGTTGTTACTATAGCAAAAGGGATTGTTACTCTCCACATCCCTTTAAGTAACTTGAAGGCCTGATAGACCCACCCTCTAAGACTTCATTAGACATTCCCTACGAATGGTTATACTCTCCTGTATACTCCCAATACAACTCTAAAATATATTATTCCATATAGTCCTTAGGTTTGTATTAAAGTTTGACTTTTTTCCTTCAAAATATCTCTTGTCACAACAGCGGCTCTAGAGAGAAATACATTCCCTCCAGGCAAATCTATGCTGCGCTGGTCTGACCTGGGACCCTGGGGACATTGCCCCTGTGCTGAGTTACTAAGATGAGCCAGCCCTGCAGCTGTGCTCAGCCTGCCCCATGCCCTGCTGATTGATTTGCATGTTCCAGAGCACAGCCCCCTGCCCTGAAGACTTTTTTATGGGCTGGTCGCACCCTGTGCAGGAGTCAGTCTCAGTCAGGACACAGCATGGACATGAGGGTCCCCGCTCAGCTCCTGGGGCTCCTGCTACTCTGGCTCCGAGGTAAGGATGGAGAACACTAGGAATTTACTCAGCCAGTGTGCTCAGTACTGACTGGAACTTCAGGGAAGTTCTCTGATAACATGATTAATAGTAAGAATATTTGTTTTTATGTTTCCAATCTCAGGTGCCAGATGTGACATCCAGATGACCCAGTCTCCATCCTCCCTGTCTGCATCTGTAGGAGACAGAGTCACCATCACTTGCCGGGCAAGTCAGAGCATTAGCAGCTATTTAAATTGGTATCAGCAGAAACCAGGGAAAGCCCCTAAGCTCCTGATCTATGCTGCATCCAGTTTGCAAAGTGGGGTCCCATCAAGGTTCAGTGGCAGTGGATCTGGGACAGATTTCACTCTCACCATCAGCAGTCTGCAACCTGAAGATTTTGCAACTTACTACTGTCAACAGAGTTACAGTACCCCTCCCACAGTGTTACAAGTCATAACATAAACCTCCAAGGAAGCAGATGTGTGAGGACGAGCCACCCCAGATGCTCCTCCTGGTGCCTCCATCTGCTGAGAGCATTTCTCAAACTCAGTCAGGTTTTGAAAGTCATTGGGAGACTTTTGTAGAGGGGACCAGGGAGGCTCCTCTGAACTCTAAGCCTCTTTTGCCCCTATCCCCAGGAGAAAAGATGTGACAATGCCTGTCCTGATTGAATAAGGAAGAGATACAAGTCCACCTGAGGAGTCTGTGTTATGGGATAATTGGAATTTACACAGCAAAAGAGAAGCTATTCTCGGTATTTCAAGGAGAAATTGTTCAAGTTGAATAAATTAGAGTCTAAACTAGTCTTTTTGAAGCCTACGGTATGTTATTCGTGAAGCAGCCACTAGAGACAGGGGATTCTCAGGTGCTCCTGCAGAAGTCAGAGTGCACCTGCCCCTGGTGGTATGTGCTGAGTACCGTGTGATGATCCTCAGACCTGTCTGGGAAGCCGAGGGCTGGGGTGCTGATGCTCTCAGCTGCCTGCAGCACGTCTCCAGGTGATTCTCCAGTCCACAAACAATTCCACATGTTTTACTTCAGATGTCAGAGTACATGAATCCACCACTCTGACTTCCCAATCTCATGGGAGTGCCTCTCATTAAGCAACTCTAAAGAAACCATAGAGAGAAAAGGAGTTTTGGAAAATGTGCGTCCAGAAGTGATAGTAGCGATGGGGAATTGACAGCTGACAGGTCAGTAAGGTTGCTCTTTCCACAAGGCTCAAAACTTTGCCAGTTACAGATTGTCCCAGAATATACTCGAATGTGCTATCACGTCTTACGAGCAACTCTGGGTTCATAGCAAGAAAACTTCATTAAGTCATAGATGAAACAGAAAAATCAGGAAACTGTATGAAATACATTATAAGGCTGTGTGTGGTAGCTCATGCCTGTAATTCCCAGCACTTTGAGAGGCTAAGGCAGGAGAATTGCTTCATCCTAGGAGTTTGAGATTGGACTGGGCAACATAGGAAGACTCTGTCTCTACAAAAAACAAAACAAAACAAAAAGATAAATAGATAGTTATAACAATCGTTTGACAACCTTTTTCCTTGACAAAAAGGAAAACAAGAGAAAATCCTAAACATGGATGTAGCATTTTTCCTCTTAATATGAAAGTCCTCTGCTACTCAAAACTATCCAGAATCCAGTAGCACCTTAGCAATACTGAGAGGGTGCCTTGCAAGATACATAGCAGGCCCACCTCAAATTACCTGAAAGAGAATCTTCATTTTAACACGGTAACAAGTGATCTACATAAAGCTTAACAAGGTATGTTTTAGGTGATATTTTAGCTAAAGAGATTTATTTTTTTCTCAATGAGGATATTTAAGAAAATTTCAATGGAGAGTCACATGTTGAAAGCACACCCAGCTTTACTTTCAAATTGATGCAACATTGCATTTGAAAACATTTTGAAGATTACAAAGGTTGAAAATCATAATTATATATGTCCATAGAATTATCAAATAACTTCATGTTTAAATGGAGTAAACATTTTTAGAAACTTTAATAATTACCAAGTGAAAGAATCAATTAAAGTTGTGTGTACCTATGTTAGAGATTCTCGGGCTTAATTGTATCAGGTCAGCTTGGTTTGGGATTTGTCTACTCCTGCGACCTGCCATGAGAATCTTCTGCCCTGAGTAGTCAGTGTCCTTCAGGCTTGGCCTCAGATAAATGCAATCCATAGGCTGGAGACAAGCTCGATTCCCTGCAGCCGAACCAACCAGCTGAGCCCTGCCTTGGGATCAGCCAACTGATTATTAAAATGAACATTCAGGAATATGAAAATAAATACTTAGTGTTAATAAGACACTAAGAGTTTAAGTGGTTGATTGTCAATAATTATTGTGCAAAAACTGACCAATACAGTATTTATACATCTACCTATTTAGATAGATGCATTTTATTAAAATTGATGGCATAAATATGAATATTTATTAATCCATATATAGAGATACTAAGACAACATTTAAAACATTAAAACTTAATACCAATAAAAACCATGAAATTGATGTCATTTGGGGAAAATACATATTTGAGTGTATATAACATACATATTGGTGCATTTATATTTTTGAAAAATTATTGGCTGCATATACGTATATGTACACATATTTATCTTTAAATAAGTCTATTTAAGTATATTTATATATCCATATAGAAGTAACACATGCATATTTACAAAACAATTATATAAAAATGAAATCTGTGAAGGTGATTTCAGTTTCCCCCCATAAGAACACTGGTGCCCGAGACCTGGTGTAGTATCTGCTGTGGCTACAGAAAGTTCCTTTATAACCTTTAGTTATAAAATACTCACCTAATGGGTATTTACACCTTAAAATATTTTTCTAACTCAAGTGGAGGGGTAAAGGGTATGAATGGGGATAACTGCCTACTGTTAAAAATTAATCATTTCATCCTATGGAAGTCCAATCATGCATATGCTGCCAATGATGCCATGCTGGATGGAGTTCTCATAACTGGGTGCTGTATTGATGTCATACCACTGCCATGGTAAAGGATACCCTGGGAGACTAGCAGTCACAAGAGTGGGCAAACCCGAAGGGTGAAGTCACCGTACACTTTGCAAAGAGGGATTAGCAATTCCATAACATTGGCTATTGGTTTGGAGAGATCACCAGGCCTCAGAAGAAACAAAACTGAAGGACTCGAGACAAAGTTGGTTTGGAAGAGCTATGACTGGATCTTTGAAAATACGTCAAGATCAAAAATAAATGCTTCCTAAGTGAATATTCATATCTATTCCATTACTGAGGACCAGCTCTTAGTAATTAAGAGGATCGAATGCTTGGCCTTCAGTCAGTCAACTTTCCCAGATTTTTTAGGAAGTGACATGAACCATAGAAATCCATGCAGGAGCTCAACAATATGAATTTCAGTTAATGAGGCTTGCATACCTATGGCTCTTCTGAGCATTCAACTTGCCAAGTAGCATTACCCCTCCCAAACCACTAACATCTAACCACACATCAGTGATCAGACTAACAACGCGTGTCAAATGAGTACAGTGCACCTAACCCAGCATCCAGAGGACAGTGGTAGTTTTCCTGTATACGGATTTGCCTTTCTTGTCAGTCATGTTTCTGCCAGAATCATCACTTGGAAGTATCTATAGCAAAAAAAAAAAAAAAAAAAGTGAAGCAACGTATATTCACGATGTTGTCATGTGTCCAGGGGCAGCTGTCCTTATAGAAAAGAGAAAATCCATTAGTAGTCAGGAAAAGCCAAAACACTAACCCTTGTAATGTCAAATCACTGTCTTACCAGATGTGCTGGAGGCCCTGAAACACTGATGTGTATGACGTTGTTACCCCCATTAACAGAATAGGAGAATCTGAGAGATGACTATTTATTATGGGTACAGAGAAGATTGAAATGTTGTTTCTATTCACTCTTGTCTGGTTTTCCAGTTGATAGTTCTTAATTCAAAGAATTAGCATGATAATTGTTGCATTAAATTGAAAAAAATGATGAACATGTGGCCATTTAGTTCTTATTATGGTTCAGGACAAACTTTGAACAAAGGGTCCTATGGTGTGGGCTGGGGACATACAACCTGATAATCAAGGAGAAATAGGTTTCCTTCTACATATTTTAGAGAGGAAGTAGAGAAAATGTGGAAGCTAGAAGAATTTCAAGATTGTTTTTATTTACTGACATTTCCTCTGGTAAAAGTTTCTCTTAACTTCAACAGACTTCAGAATGAAGCTTTGAGTAACACGCAGCTGAAGCATCACATGCACTTGGATGCTAGTGCAGCAGAGGGGAGATGAAACACACAGTGAGCTTAGGAGATGAGAACAGCAAAGGCAGCCTCTTGGTCAGCTTGAGTTGAGAAGCACAAGAAACAGTCCATTCATTCCTTCTACTTGTTCTATCATTGAATCAGGTGACTATGAGAGAAGCCACTGTGCCTGGTGAGGCAAAATTGTGTTTATTTTGATGCATTAGGTGACTTAAAACCAGATGGAAAAAGCAGAGGAGTGAGTGCAGGCAGCTCCCAGCACTGATTTCACTCCTCCCTGATCAAGATATCACTCATCCTTGTCTCCATGATCAAGAAAATTCCAAGGCCAGGCGCGGTGGCTCACGCCTGTAATCCCATCACTTTGGGAGGCCAAGGCAGGCAGATTGCCTGAGGTCAGGAGTTCGAGACCAGCCTGGCCAATATGGTGAAACCCCGTCTCTACTAAAAATACAAAAATTAGAAAAGCATGCTAGCACACGCCAGTAATCCCAGCTACTCCGGAGGCTGAGCCAGGAGAATCACTTGAACCAGGGAGGCAGAGGTTGCAGTGAGCCAAGATCATACCACTACATTCCAGCCTGGGTCACAGAGCAAGACTCCTTCTCAAAAAACAGAAAGAAAGAAAAAGAAAAGTCCTCCTATTGTGACAGGAAGATGGTGAGGCAGGAGGCTGTGCCCACAGGACGGTGCTGTCTGATCAAGTTTCTTGATCCTGTGTGAATTTGCTTAGGATAATGGCCTCCAGCTGCATTCACGTAGCTCTAAAGGACCATTATTTCATTTTTAATTGCTGTGTAGTATTTCATGGTGTATATGCACCACATGTTCTTAATCCAGCCTACCTTTGATAGTCATTTAGGTTGATTTCATGTCTTTTCTATTGTGAACAGTGCTGCCATGAACGTATGTGTGCACATGTCTGTATAGTAGAACGATTTATATTCCTTTGGGTATAGATGTAATAATGTGATTGCTGGGTCGAATGGTACTTCTGTTTTAAGTTCTTTGAGAAGTCGTTATACTGCTTTCCACAACTGCTGAACTAATTTACATTCCCACCAGCAGTGTATGAGCATTCCCTTTTCTCTGCAACCTCACCAGCATCTGTCATTTTTTGCCTTTATAGTAATAGCCATCCTGACTGGCATGAGATAGTATCTCATTGTGGTTTGATTTGCATTTCCATGATGATTAGTGATGATGACCATTTTTTTATGTTTGTTGGCTGCTTGTATGTTTTCTTTTGATTAACTTCTTTTAGGTTTCCTTCTACCTATTTTAGAGAGGAAGTAGAGAAAATGTGGAAGCTAGAAGAATTTCAGGATTGTTTTTATTTACTGACGTTTCCTCTGGTAAAAGTTTCTCTTAACTTCAACAGACTTCAGAATGAAGCTTTGCGTAACGCAGCTGAAGCATCACATGCACTTGGATGTTAGTGCAGCAGAGGGGAGATGAAACACACGGTGAGCTTAGGAGATGAGAACACCAAAGAGTTGAGAAGCACAGGAAACAATCCATTCATTCCTTCTACTTGTTCTATCATTGAATCAGTTGACTATGAGAGAAGCCATTGTGCCTGGTGAGGCAAAATTGTATTTATTTTGATGGATTAGGTGACTTAAAACCAGATGGAAAAAGCAGAGGAGTGACCTCAGGCAGCTCCCAGCACTCATTTCACTGCTCCCTGATACGTGTCTGTTTCATGGCCTTTGCCCATTTTATAATGGAGTTGTTTCTTGTTGTTGATTTTTTTAAAATTTTTTGTAGATTCTGGATCTTAGATCTTTGTCAGATACATAGCTTGTGAATATGTTCTCCCATTTTGTAGGCTGTCTGTTTACTCTGTTGTTAGTGTCTCTTGCTGTAATGAAGTTGTGTAGTTTAATTAGATAGCACTTATCAATTTTTGTTTTTATTGCAATTGCTTTTGGAGTCTATGTCATGAATTCTTTGCCTGAGCAAATGTCAAGAATGGCATTTCCTAGATTTTTATTAGAGTTTTTAGAGTTTAGATTTTATATTTAAGCCTTTAATCCATCTTGAGTTGGTTTTTCTATATAGTGAAAGGTTTCCATTTCAGTGCATATAGGTGCCAGTTATCCCAGCAGCATTTATTGAATAAGGGGGTCCTTTCTTCATTGCTTGTTTTAGTCAGCTTTGTCGAAGATCAGATGGTTGTAGGTGTGCGGTTTTACTTCTGAATCCTCTAGCCTGTTCCATTGGTCTAGGGTTCCTGTTTTTGTAGCAGTACTCTTCTGATTTAGTTACTGTAGCCTTGTAGTATATCTTGAAGTCGTGTAGTGTGATACCTCCAGCTTTGCTCTTTTTGCTTAGGATTTTTTTTTTTTTTTAGCTCTAGTTTAGTTCCAAGTAAATTTTAGAATTTTTTTTCTAATTCTGTGAAAAATGTTATTGGTAGTTTCACAGGAATAGCATTGAATCTATAAATAGCATTAGGCAGTATGACCAGCTCAAAAGTATTGATTCTATCCACGCAGGTGGAATGTTTTTCCGTTTGTTTGTGTCATTTCTGATTTCTTTCAGCAGTATTTTGTCGTTCATGTTGTAGAGATCTTTCACCTCCTTGGTAAGCTGTATTTCTAGGTATTTTATCCTTTTTATGCTTACTGTGAAGGGGATTGGGCTCTGGGACTGGCTCTTGGTGTGAATGGTATTGGTATATAGAAATGCTACTGATTTGCGTAAATTGATTTTGTTTCCTGAAATATTGCTGAAATTATTTATGAGATCTAGAAGCTTTTGGGCAGAGAGTGTGGGGTTTTCTGAATATATTATAGTATCGCCTTCAAAGAGAGATAGTTTGACTTATTCTCTTCCTATTTGGATGCCTTTTATTTTTCTCTCTTGCCTGATTGCTCTGGCTAGAAATTCCAGTACTATGTTGAATAGGAGTGGTGAGAGTGGGTATCCTTGTCTTGTTCTGGTTCTCAACGAAAATGCCTCCAGCATTTGTCGATTCTGTGGGATGCTGGCTGTAATTTTGCCATAAATGGCTGTTAATATTTTAAGTTGTGTAGTTTCATTGTCTAGATTTTGAGGGTGTTTAGCATGAAGGGGCATTGAATTCTATCAAAAGGCTTTTCTGCATCTAATGAGATGATCCTGTAGTTTTTGTATTTAGTTCTGTTTATGAGGTGAATCTCATGTATTGATTTTTACATTTTGAACCAACCATGCATCCCGTGACTAAAGCCAGCTTAATTATGGTGGATTAGCTTTTGATGTGCTACACAATAATGTTTGCTAGTATTTTTTTCAGAAAGTTTGTGTTTATGTTCATGAGAGATAGCGATCTGAAGTTTTTATTTATTGTGCCTCTGTCAGTTTTTACTATCAGGGAGATGCTGGTTTCATAGAATGAGTTAGAGAGGAGATCTCCCACCTTGATTTTTTTGGAATAATTTCACTAGGATTGGTACTAGCTTTTTTTATATGTCTGGTAGTATTTGGTTGTAAATCCATTTTTTCCAGGACTTTTTCTGATAGGTGGGCTTTTTACTACTGATTCAATTTCAGAACTCATTATTGGTCTGTTTAGGCATTCAGCTTCTTCCTGCGAGATTCTTGGTAGATTGTTTCCAGCAATTTATGCACTTTTTTCTAGGTTTTCTAGTTTTTGTGCATAGAGGTGTTGGTTATAGGTTCCAAGGGTTTTTCGTTTGTTTGTTTGTTTTATTGCTGAGGGTTGAGTGATAATATCCTGTTTGTCACTTCTGGTTGTTTTTCTTTGGATATTGCTTTTTTCTTTATTAGTCTAGCTTGCAGTCTATCAATCTTATTTCTTCTTTCAAAGACCTAACTTTTGATTTCACTGACCTTTTGTTTGGTTTTTCTCCTCTCTATTTCATTCAGGTCAGGTTTGATTTTGATTATTCTTCTACCTTTGGGGTTGGTTCACATTTGTTTTTCAGATTTCTCTAGGTATGACGTTAGGTTGTTAATTCAGGATTTTTCTAACTTTTTGATGTGCACATTTAGCGCTATAAACTTTCCTCAGAACACTGCTTTTGCTGTGTCCCAGAGATTGTGGTATGTTGTCTCTTTTTTTTCATTAGTTTCAAAGAATTTCTTAATTCTTATCTTAATTTCATTGTTTACCCAAAAGTCTGTAAGCAGCAGATTGTTAAATTTCTACTTAATTTTATGGTTTTTGAAAGATCTTTTTGGTGTTGATTTTTACTTTTTTTGCACTTCAGCCTGAGAGTGTGGTTGGTATGATTCCATTTCATTTTATCATTTTTATTTTTTGTATTTGTTGACACTTGCAGTATGGCTGAGAGTGTAGTCAATTTTAGAGTTTTTGCCACGTGTAGATGGGAAGAATGTATATTCTGTAATTTTTAGTGGTTGCTCTGTAGATGTCAGTTTGTTCCATTTTGTCAAGTGTCATGTTTAGGTTCTGAATATGTTTGTTACTATTCTGCCTAAATCATCTGTCGAATACTGTCAGTGTGGGTTGAAGTCTCACTCTATGATTGTGTGGTTATCTAGGTGTTTTTGTAAGTCTCTAAGAACTTACTTCACAAATCAGGGTGCTCCACTGCTGTGTGCTTATATAATATATTTAGGATAGTGAAGTCTTCTTGTTAAATTTAACTCTTCATTATTATGTAATGCTCTTCTCTGTCCTTTCTGATTATCGTTAGTTTTGTTTTGTTTTGTTTTGTTTTGTTTTTTGAGACAGAGTCTCTCTCTGTCTCCCAGGTTGCAGTGCAGTGGCGCGATCTCGGCTCACTGCAAGCTCCGCCCCCTGGGTTCACGCTATTCTCCTGCCTCAGCCTCCCAAGTAGCTGGGACTACAGGCGCCTGCCACCACGCTCGGCTATTTTTTTTGTATTTTTAATAGAGACAAGGTTTCATCGTGTTAGCCAGAATGGTCTCGATTTCCTGACCTCGTGATCTACCCGCTTTGGCCTCCCAAAGTCCTGGGATTACAGGTGTGAGCCACCGCGCCCAGCCATGATCATTGTTAGTTTTAAGTCTGTTGTATCTGAAATAAGAATAGCAACCCCTGCTCTTTTTTGCTTTCCATTTGTTTGATAGATCTTTCTTTCTCCCTTTACTTTGAGCCTATGTGTAATCATTAGAAACCACCTGAAAGAACAATGACCAGTGCCTTGAATAATATCTTTTAATAAAGGGTCGCTTGTACCTAGTAAATACTAAGCTTATTTATTTATTTATTTATTTATTTATTTATTTATTTATTTTGTTGCCCAGTTTCGCTCTTGTTGCCCAGGATGGAGCGCAATGGTGCGATCTCGGCTCACCAAAACCTCCGCCTCCCGGATTCAAGTGATTCTCCTGCCTCAGCCTCCCAAGTAGCTGGGATTACAGGCATAAGCCCCCAACCCCCAGGTGATTTTATGTATTTTTAGTAGAGATGGGGTTTTTCCATGTTGGTCAGGCTGAACTCCCGACCTCGGGTGATCCGCCTGCCGCGGACCAAGAAGTGCTGGGATTACAGGCGTGAGCCACCACAACCGGCCTAAGCTCATTTTTAAAAACGTATTTTTTATGATGTGAATAAAAAATCTTTTAAAAGATAAATGATAAATCCATATCATAAGGGAAATCGTGATACTTGCTCATAATATTTGTACATAACTTTGTACTTCATCTCCTGCAGGTCTAGTCAGACCCTCCTGCATAGCAATGGAAACACCTATTTGTATTGGTAACTATAGAAGCCAGGCGAGTCTCCACAGCTCCTGATCTATGGGGTTTCCAATGGGGCCTCTGGAGTCCCAGACAGGTTCAATAGCAGTGGGTCAGGCACATATTTTAAACTCAAAATTAGCAGGGTGGAGGCTGAGGATATTCGACTTTATTAATACATGCAAGCTACATAATATCCTTGCACAGTGGTAACGCCTTGAACACAAACCTCCTTGCTGGGGTGTCCCAACTGCCCACATGAGCTGCTGTCTGGGAGCAGCTCTGCAGGGTCTCTGAGTCTGCGGAAGAGGAGGCTGTTGGGGAACTCAGGGAAAGGGTTTGCTGCTGAAGACTCTGGCTCATGAGAGCCTCAGCTGTGCCTCAGTCACATATGTTAAGGTCCCATCAGCTGCCATGGCCTGGGGAAGACATCATCAGGAGGAGAATTCTTGGGGGCCATGAGCCCTGGGAACAACCAGCTATGATGAAGGGAGAGTGAATGAAAGCTCATCCCTCCCTATCTTGCCTACATTTTTCAAGGACATTTACTTGTCAAAACAACCAGACCGTGGATGCAGATTAGTGACAACACAAGTGGAATACGTGTTGGAAATGACCAGCTTGGGGTTTATTTTATACAAGATGATACTTGGTCCTATTGAGAAATCATTTTTTTCATTTCATTCTCCCAACCTTGTATCTTTTTTAGCACTCGTACACTAAACTGCCCTCTCCAGTGTCATGCTGGAGAAGGTATTCTACACAAGCTGTCCTCAGGGGAGTGTGGCAAAAAATAATTATTAAAAATGTTTAGGTTTGACTATTCATAGACTTGGTAAACACATGGCAAATAAAAGATCTCAATGCCAAAATACTTCAATTCTCCTCAATTACCTTCATCCCAGTGAAAGTTCTTCCAGTTACAAAAGTGAGCTTTGAAAATAAACAGAATGAACTCACAGATGGACAACATAGACTCACTAAATATGTCACATGAATAATGCAGAATTACATAATATTTTTTCTTCTTACCCCAGTTTTAAGAATTTAAAAAGCATTTAACCTAAGTACTGTTTTAGAGGTGACAAATTTAGTGGTGTGTCCCCATGAGAAAATATTTCAAACAATACCAAAATTCCTTGTTTACATATTACATCATCGTTCCTAGAAAATATATCTAAATCCTCTATTTTAGGTATAAAAGCAAAAAAAAGTAAGGTTTCAGTTGATTTCACTTAAAATGGTATTTTAAATTTCCATCAAACTTAATGATGAGTCATGTCAGTTACATGACAGAACATGGTGTGATAGAGACAAAAGAATGATTGAAGGAACAGAACAAGAAGCTTCTGCTTCAGCCTTAGGATTTGAAGTATATTGGAGATTATTTTCCATTCTGTGATAATGGATTCAATGGCCACTGCAACTAAAATTCCAAAGTGCCATTTCTATTAGGTTTCATAGATATAGGGCAAAATTTATGTAGAAATCAAGCAGACTGGAGCCCTCAAATTAAAAAACATTAGACACTTTTAAATATGCTATTTAAAAATCCTAATAAATACATCGTGGAGTGTAAATGATTTTACAGAATGCTATTTCAGAGAAACAAAGCGTAAGTAGCAAGAGCAGGAGCTGAGAAATGCCATCATCGTCTTTAGTACTCACGTGATTGACAGCACCTAGTCGCTGTAGATTCTGCTTTGATGTGAGACAGGGATAAGGTCTAAACTCACTCAAGATGTTTAGATGTATTTAACAAGGAAACAAACATACAGCCTACATGATTTTGATATCCCAAGGGCTATACTCTCAAATCAAAATGCTAAAAAAATGATATCAAAGACAGAAAGGGGATAAGGTCTAAACTCACTCAAGATGTTTAGATGTATTTAACAAGGAAACAAACATACAGCCTACATGATTTTGATATCCCAAGGGCTATACTCTCAAATCAAAATGCTAAAAAAATGATATCAAAGACAGAAAGGGGATTCAAGAAGAACCAGAGGATAATCAAATTTATTACAAAGAAGCCTCAAAAGCTCAGAGCACAGCCTACCTCCTTCCTCACAGTCTCTGCCCCCATTCCCATTCCTCAGCAGCATGGGGTGGAGCGGAGAGGAGAGAAAGCTGTTACCCCTAGAGAGCCTCTCTTTTCTTCTAAAGACCTAAGAAAATTCCAGCTTTCCACCAGGGATAAATGTTCTTTTGCCTCAAGGACTCATTTGTGCAATTTTTTACTGTGTGAATCTCCTGATAAACTTGCATTTTTGTTCGTTTTAATTTGAAAATATATTTACACAATATTTGGAAATAATTTTTGAATATATAATCATATTGTGGCAGCCTATAGAAGTTGTCATTTACTGTTGGTAATTGTTGCTAAAAAGTCATCTGCAAATGAAAGACTTTCATCTGTGACTAACACACCTCCTCTGAAAGGAATCTGGCTTTTTCGTCTCTTCAGGCTCTTTTTAAGCTCTTCAATTGGCCTTTGGCTTTTTCAACATGTAATTTATTCAGTTTAATTTATTATTTATGCAAAATTAATGAATTAGTTTTCCCTATTACAAAATAAAAAATCGTGTGTATTGCTATGTCAAACACCTGCCCCTAGATGGCAAACAAATTCCACAGTATAAAAAGAGAATGCCATGAACTAAGAAATACTGGGAATGTAAGGATGATGGTGTCTCACTGTCAACAGGGAGCCCTTTGGCTGGAACAGGGTCTCATGTGTGACCTGGAGCACCTGGGAGGAGCTGCCAGGGTGCTAAATGGTGGGGAAAATCTGCTCTGTGCTCTGTGCGCTGAGACTGGAAGCTGGGCCCTGACCCCCAGTGTAGCTGCGAGAGATGATCGAGGTAGATGGGGTTAAAGGAGGTCCTAAGCATGAGATCCCTTGCAATAGAATTAGTGCTCTTATCCGAATAGCAACCAGAGCTCTCCTCTTCCTTTCCTCCCTGTCTCTCCCTCTCTCTTCCCAACCCCCATCCCTTTTTCTCCATGGCTGTCTATGAACCAGGAAGAAAGTTCTTAACAGAATGTGTACCTGGTTGGACCTTGATCTTAGACTTCCAGCCACCAGAAATGTGAATATAAATTTCTATTGCTTAAGCCATCCAGGCTTTGGGATTTTGGCGTGGCAGTGCCAGCAGATTCACCCACCGTCCCAACCCTCTCTGAGCAGGATCAGCCTCAGGAGGCCCTCGTGGACATGGAGACACAGCTTTCCTCCTCTTCTGCTGCTGTCAGACTCTGGTGAGGAGGGAGGACTCAGGCTTCATCCTCAGTTTGGTTGCACTAAATACAAATGTTTCCTTCACCATCAGGTAACTAGCCTTTTTGCTTTCTGATTAGAATTACATCAAACTGCAGGAACAACTATGCCTATTTATACAAATGTACATATCACATTGTGAACCCAGAACATTTGAGACAGGTATAAGGTAATTTAGAAAGTTTATTTTGCCAAAGTTTAGGACACGTTCCTGTGACACAGCCTCAAGAGGTCCTGCAGGCATGTGGCCAAGGTGGTCAGAGCGTAGCTTGGTTTTAAACATTTCAGTGAGACATGAGACATCAATCAACATATATAAAATGAACATTGGTTTGGTCTGGAAAGGCAGGACAACTCCAAGCGAAAAGCAGGGCAACTGGAAGCAGGGAGGGGCTTTCAAGTCCCAGGTAGGTGAGAGAAAAACTTGCCTTCCTTTAAGTTTCTGATTAGCCTTTCCAGAACAGGTAATTAGATATGCATTTATCTCAGGGACCAGAGGGCTGACTTTGAAAACAATGGGAGGCAGATTTGCCCTATTCAGTTCCCAGCTAGAATTTTCCCTTTAGCTTAGTGATTTGGGGAGCCCAAGATATTTTCCTTTCACAATATTTATTCGTAATATAGATGCATAGTAGATACAAAGATATCACTGCAATTTACATCTATAATATTATACATATTTAATATACAAAGTTTGTTACAAACGCATATATACATATACACATAATTTTATGTTTATTTAGCACGTGCTCCTTTTTTTTTCTAACTATAACAGAATCAGGCTCAGTCAGGACTCTGCGGACATTTGCTGACCTCTTTGGCTCCAGCACAGTCCTGGTCATTGAGAGCCAGTGAGAACAGAGCTGAGAGCAGCCCACCCCAGGAGCTTGGGCCCAGCCCCAAGGCCCTTGTCTCTGAGACTTTCCTCCTGGTGGCAGGCTCTGGGCTTGAAGCAGTGCCCATGAGTGTGTGAGCAATTTCCTTCCCTGAAGCCCCTGTGAGGCAGACCTGTGGGCAGCGCCTTTGGTTCCCAGGTCCTCAGCCCCTTGTCTCAGTAGAGCAGCTGCTTCCTCCACAGCCCAGGGCCAGAGCCCAGCAGCTTTCAGACAGTGCAAGTCTGACCTTAGCCCTGATTTAAGGATCTTATTATAAATGTCTCTACAAGTATTCTGGTAACTGAAAGTATGTCCTTGACTTACATAAATGCATAGGCTACATTTCCACAATTGCTGAAACTAACAAGGTCATGTGAGAAATTTAAAATTTGACTTCGTTTTCATCCTCAGGGCCCGGCTTCTTCGAATGTTGCAGTATGAAGATGCGCCTAGCTTTTCTCCTCCTCATACAACTTTCCTTAAAAGCACAGTGGAATTTAAAATTTTGTCACCTACAGAGCAGCCACCCTCTCCTCTTTCAGTGTATAGGGCACTGTCTCTGTCCTGCTGTGCATGACAACGACACTGAGCCGCTCCCAGCCCAGGAAAGGAGCAAGGTTTAGGTGGACATGTGATCAGCTCCACAATGAGATGTCATGGGTGTGAAGGAGGGGCAGGACTTCTGGAGAAAATGGTGATCTCTCATAAAAAGAGGGGTGATGAAGAGCTTTGCCCTTCATTTCCTCTTTGGGCAGTTACCAGAGGACATGAAGCTTACAGTCTCTGCAGCCTTCTTGAGACCATGAGATGTTGAGCCCAAGACAGAAAAACCAATGTGGTCAAGTTTACCAAGCAGTAATGTAGAAAGAATCTGGGGCCTTTCTCCTGTCACCAAGCTGCTGTATTAACCCTGAATGTGCCAAACTTCAGATCTCTTCTCATTGCTTAAGCCATTGTTATTCTTTCACTTGTTTCTAAAATTATTGTCGCTTATCCTTAAATGATACTGAAGAAAAAGAGCCTCGTTGGCCATAGACCTGCCCCTTAGGAGAAGAAATGCATTATCATGCGTGTGTATGTGTGTGTTTGTGGGTGTCAAAGGCAGTAAAAGCAAGAACCAGAATAAGTGATGTCCTTTCCTGACATCTTGGCTCTGCTGTATTTATAGCTAAGGAAACCCAAACCACTGCAAAGAGTTCATAATTTCTGCTCTCTTCCTGTCTCAGTTTCATGTTTTATATCTTAAGGATGAACATCTTTTTGTTGTCCCTAATTCCTCCCTCCTTTATGATCATGAAATTAAAATAGTGGTCAAGAAAGAGACAAGAACACTTGAAGAAGACATAAAATCTGTGGACTGTACACATCTCCTCAACAGCAACATCATGCTAGCAGTTTTCTCCTTCTTCTCAGTGGTTTTTGATGGGAAGATGCTAACTCCTCCAACCAGGTATCTATCAGAGGTTGCGTTTGGAGGGCTTACAAAGAAAAGCTTCCAGGCAGTTAGTGCTGGATTCTGGGGAGTGTAGCAGGAGGGTGAGTCTGGATTCCCAGCATGGGGAGGCCAGAGTGAATTCTGAGAAAGGCTGTGCATGTGGGAAGAAAAGAATTAGAACTCAGAACTGTGGTCACAACCTTAGGAGCCAAAGAATGAGACACTAACACAAATGCAGCTCAGAGACAACTCAGACTAAAAGTGTTATGATCAATTGTCATCTTGTTTGTCTTTCTAATACCACACATAAAGAGTAGGTAGAATTGTTTACAGTGGAAGCTATGCACATGAAACCCCACTGCCCTTAGTGATGCACTTGCTTGTTGTAGAATAAATATTGAAGAATTTGAATTGAAAGTGATGTCTGGCTAGTAATATCTTACATAGCCTTTTTATTCCAGCATGGTCAAGGGTACATAAAAAGAGGACTGGATATATATATATTAGAAAGATAAACAGGATGACAATTGATCATATATATATATATATATATATATATATATTTACACACACACACACACATACTTCAAGGCCCATCATCTGATTAAGTCCTCAGGAGACCCCTTGATATACACAGTGTTCCATTTCACAGATGAAGAAACCAATGATCAGAGCTCATGGATGGTTTATGCAAAATCACATGATCAGCACATGTGGGCTGGAATTTGAACCCAAGTCTGTGTGGCTTTATTATATTTCTTTCATGCAGCCACTTTCATCCCATAGTTGAGCCCACAGTCTATAATAAGGGAGAAGACACCGTAGGGACAGTGTGGACTCCACAGCTTCCTGCTCTCTCTGTCTTACACCATGCTGACCTTAATCGTAAACTAGCCCCATCTGCAGTTTTCCCTAGAAAACACAACTCTGTCAATGTCTTTGTGAGTTGCAAATGACTTTATTTTGGACTTGTGAGGAAGGACACATCTTTCTTTTCTCTGGCCCCTTCTACATCTCCTCTTTCTCTTCGAATTTCCCTGGCTCAGTCTGTCCCTCTCAGAATGTGTTCTGCAAGTCTAATTTGCCCTCCTAATATAAAAACAAACCAAAAAACAATCTCCCCTCCTCTCACGTGCTATGACAGCTGATCTCTAGGCTCTCAGATACCCAGATTGTTCCAGAGCCAATCAAGGGATCTGACCCAAGACATTTTCTGCCTTAGAGGAATTCTGGTGCTACCTCCTCTCAAAATAATATGTTCTCTGTCTTTTCAAAATTGACGGGAAATTATTACAAGGTGAAGATATTTGGGAGAACAAGAACAGCCATGCACTGAGGAGATAAAAGCCATCTCTTCCTCTTGCATTAATATCCTATTGCTGTTGGAACAAATTAGTATGACCTCACTGGCTTCATACAACACAAATGTATTATCTTACAGTTCTGAAAGTCAGAAGTCTCACTGAACTAAAATCAAAGAGTGAGCAGGGCTGTATTATTTCTGGAGGCTCCAAGGAAGAGAATTGGATACTAAGTTTTCATCTTCAAGATCTCTCAGATTCCTTGCTTCTTGGCCCCATTCTGCCACAACAGCATTCCCCTCCATTGTCCGGGCTCCTCTCTGATTGTGACCCTCCTGTATTTTCTATTATAAGGACCTTGTGATTACACTGGTTTGAGACAGGCAATCTAGGATACTCTCCTCATGTCAAATTTCTTAACTGAATCACATCTGCCGAGTTCCTCTTGACATATAAGGTAACATTCATAGATTCCAAATATTAGGACATAAATATAATTAGGGTGGGGGGTCCTTATTTATCCCCAAAACAACTCCCATTATTCCCACAACTGCCCACCCCTAAAGTCAAATGAAAATTCACAAGGCTGTTTTATGAAGCAAGGAAGCAGGAAATAATTTGTGATTTGGAGACTCTCTGACCTGTGGGTTTTAAGAGTAGGGGTTAGTTATTCCACTGCCTCTAATGTGGACCTCATGGTGTGCTGCTATTTTTTTTTTTTTACTGAGACAAAGTCTCTCTCTCTGTTTCCCAGGCTGGAGTGCAGTGGTGCGATCTTGGCTCACTGAAACCTCCGCCTCCCGGGTCCAAGCAATTCTCGTGCCTCAGCCTCCCGAGTAGCTAGGATTACAGGTGCCTGCCACCATTCCCCGCTAATCTTTGTTTTTTAGTAGAGACGGGGTTTCACCATGTTTGCCTGGCTGGTCTCAAACTCCCGACCTCAGGTGATCCACCCACCTCGGCCTCACAAAGTGCTGGGATTACAGGCGTGAGCTACCTCACTCGGCCTGTGTGCTGCTATTTTAAGAAGCTTCTTTTATTTTGTGAGTCAGAAGAAAGGGATTACTGCATAAATCAAATTTAAGATAGATGGGCAAAAAGCAATTTAGTGTTTTCTGATTTTTGTATGCATCAAAAAAGGAGAAATAATAAGAATTAAGACAAGAGGCCAGGTGCAGTGGGTCACGCCTGTGATCCTAGCACTTTGGGAAGCTGAGACAGGCAGTTCACCTAAGGTCAGGGGTTCGAGACCAGCCTGGCCAACATGGTGAAACCCCATCACTACTAAAAATACAAAAATTAGCCGGGCGTGATAGCAGGCACCTGTGATCCCAGCTACTTGGGAGGCTGAGGCAGGAGAACCACTTGAACCTGGGAGCCAAAGGTTGCAATGAGCCAAGATTGTGCCATTGCACTCCAGCCTGGGCAACAAAACAAGACTCAGTCTCAAAAAAAAAGGAGAGACAAGAGATGTAGCCCTCCCAAGAACTGGGATTTGTCCACTGTGTTGGGTTGTGTCCACCTACAAGAAGTATTTCTATGCATGCAGCATATTTACAATGGGAGGGAAGGAGGAAAGTGAGGCAGAGAACAGAGGTTGAAGGTTAAAGTCACCTCAACAAGCCACCTAACTCTTAGGATAACTGAAGCTCAACCCCATTTGGAAACACGGGGAAAATGTCCCTGGGCTATTCTAGCTGAGAGGGGAGGGAGCTGGGGTATGTATACATGTCCTTCTGTCATCACCAATTGAGGGCTGTCTGTCTAAGTCTGTTTTGTGCTGCTATAACAGAATACCTGAGACTGGGTAATCAGTAAAGAACATTCTGTCACATTTCTGGAGGATGGGAAGTCAAAGATTGAGTAACTAGCAGCTTGGGATCCAATTTCTGTGCTTTCAAGATGGAATTTGAATGCTGAGTCCTTCAGAGAGAAGGAAGGCCATGCCCTGGCCTGACAATAGCAGAAGTGAGAGACTGGGAGCTCGCTCTCATAATTGAGATAGTTCAGGGATCTGACCCCTTCTTAGGGGTCTTTGAAGCTTCCCCAGACATGGAAATAAAGGAAAATCTTGGGTCTTTTCAAGGGAAATGTTAGGTGTCCAGCTAAGCCTTGAGAAGTAAACAAGCAACATGAGAAGCAAGGAGACGATAATAGACTAAAACAATAGTCAAAGAAGCTAAAAATCACAGTATGTTTTATTCCTCTACAGAAACTAAAGAGAACATCTCAGCATATGTCTCTGAGTTGTTTTTCAGAAACCCAGATCTCCAACAAATGGATCTGCCAGCACATAGACTTCACATAAGGGGAAACAGGGGACTGAAATTTGACCATGGTTCTTTGTTCTGAATTTCCACCTGAGGGGCCTGGAGAAAGTCACACCCACAGGCCAGAGCCAACATTCCTTTGTGCTGACCCCAATTTTTAAACAAAGCTTTTCTTCCTTAATCAATTGCACATCAGAAAATTTTTCAATCTACTCATGACCTGTAAGATATTCTGCTGCTTCATGATATCCTGCCCTCTTAGGCCAAAGCCAATGTGTAACCTCCATGTATTGATTTACAATTTTGCCTGTAACTTTTGATTCCCTGAAACTTACCTGGGCTTTTAAAAGCCATTATTTGTAAGCCATTAGAGAGATCAAGATTTAAGCATTAGCTGTCTGGTCCTCTTTGCTTGACGTCCTGCAAATAAATGACTTTTTTCTCCTACTGCAAACTCAGTTTGGATAACTGGTTTTACTGCACTGAGCAAGCTGAATCCAGTTTGGTTCCATAATAAAAGCCCTTTTTATAGTAGCATTAATCTATTCATAAGGGCAGAACCTTCAGTATTTAAACACTTCTCATTAGGCCCCACCTCTCAATTCTGTTGCATTATGGATTAAATTAACAGTGGATGAAATTGAGGGGATACAGTGAAACCATAGCACTGTCTGAGGAAAGACTCATTCCAAGCCCTGTGGTCTGCCATGCGTGTAGGCGGAGCTGCCTTTCTCAGAGAGGGCAGAGATGGCCATGGGGAATCAGCAGAAGTACGGTGAAAGGGAAAGTCCTCAGTGCAGACAGGGACTGCTCCAACCGTTTAGAAAAAAGCACCTGTACTTTCCACCTGGAGCTGCAACCTTCTGGAATGGTGTTTCCTGGCAGGTCAGTTGCAAATGAAGGAATCTGGGAAGTAACATCTCAAGATATGCTACATTGGTATTGTGATTGCTTCAAACTGAAGGTGTTTAGAAAACAACAAATATATAAAGGGGCTTTTCCTAAATCTCCCTTACCTGTCTAAGGGCAGTTTCTCCAGAAGGAAGCCAATTGTCATGAAAACCCTCCCTGGGAATGTTTATCTACCAGGGAATATTAACATGCACTAGAAGTTAAATCCAGAAAAGATTGGATGTTGACTTTATCCAGACAGGCTACTACCTATCCTTTTCAGGACCCTTTTCTTTTATTTTAGGTTATTTACTCTCCCTTAGTTGCCTATACTCTCTACTTCCCTCTCCCCTATAAAGGATGTAGAAGCACCTGGACCTCACTGGGTTATTTGGGTAATCCCTCTCGTGTGTTATCCCCACACCCCCACCCCGCATGTTAAATACATTTGTCTGCCTTTTTTTCCTATTAATTTGTCTTTTGTTTATTCATTTTCAGCAAACCTTTAGAAGGTTTGCTTTTCTCTTTCCCCTTTTCCCTCTACAAAAGCAAGTTCCCTTAACATTCAGGTCCCTGAATAGACAGAAGGAGGGTGTGTGCAGAGCTTACACCACAGTGATTTGACCACTCCTAGTCAGGCATGAGTAATACTTTCCAGAACCCAGGCTACAGCCCACAGACACTGATGTAGTTGAATGCTGCTGCTGAAGCAGGCTGAGATGTCTTGGGCCCTGTTAGAGATGTGAGATATGATTGGGTGCAAATCCATTACCAGTTTTATTAGGATCCAATTAATTTCTCCATATGTATGGAAATTTGCTTGATAAGAGGTGGAGACTCTGTTCTGGATGTGAGACAGGAGGCTGGTATGTGGATCAGAATGATGTTCCCACTCACTGCTAAAAAGTAAAAGAGGAAAGTGGCATTCATAGTGCAAGGCAGGGACATGCACTGAGCAGCAGCTGCCCTCACTGGTAGGGAGGACTTACTGTCCTGATCTTTTCCAAAGTCTCTCCATCACCTGCTCTCCAGAAATCCAGGATTCAGAGGAGCTGTACCTGAGCACCCAGGAACATGCTGGTGGGGAGTTCAGCATTACTCAGGGGATGCAATCTTGGTCTTCCTACTTGTGGAGACAACTGAACCCTGGATAATTTCAAGTTTATCCTAATCCAGACTCTGATAAATGCAGGAAGAAACTAGTTATTTAAGTCAATCAGATCTGGCATCACTAGTCAGCTCTTCATGCTGAGAACCCCGGGGAAATAATACTCAATGGCAGAAGAGAGGGTAAAATATAGAGATCACCAAACCAAAAATAAGATGCAGCTTATATAATCTCTGGGTATTGAGGTGGCTTACAGGTTTAAATAATGGTGAATCTGTGAGTGATACCGGCCTTGAGGACTTGTGGTTTCATTTTTATGCATCTGTAGTGAATTGCGTGACCATACAGTCATGTAAGAATGGCTTAAGGTCATTACAAAATACTTTCAAATATATTTAGCATTATCTTGTAAAATTGTCTCTTTTTTTTAAGAAGGAACCATTTCACTCTCACAGAAATGTTATAAGTATAGAACAAAGTACCCTCTCCTTTGCAGAGTATATTCAAGACTTGATGTTCCCACCCTCTAAAACTTTACTGAGTTTCCTACAAATAAAAATATTCCCCTGGCTGGACGTGGTGGCTCATGCCTGTAATCCCAGCACTTTGGGAGGCTGAGGCGAGGGGGTCACCTGAGGTTAGGAGTTTGAGACCAGCTTGGCCAACATGGTGAAACCCCATTTCTACTACTAAAAATACAAAATTAGCCTGGCATGGTGGTGCGTACCTGTAGTCCCACCTACCCTGGAGGCTGAGGCAGGAGAAATCGATGGTACCTGGCAGGTGGAGGTTGCAGTGAGGTGAGATCGTGCCACTGCACTCCAGCCTAGGTGACAGAACGAGACTCTGTCTCAAAAAAAAAAAACCTTAATTAATCCCCATATACAAATAGAAAACATTACTTCATCGAGTACTCAAGAGTATTTCAAATATTAACAATTATTAAAAAAAAAAGTTCTTTGTTACAAAACGGCCCCAAGAGGAAACATGTTCTTACAGACAAATCTGTGCTACCCTCCTCTGACTTGGGACACTGGGGACACGAGGGACTGGCTCAGAGATGAGCCAGCCCCGCAGCTGTGCCCAGCCTGCCCCAACCCCTGCTGATTTGCATGTTCCCAGAGCACAGCCCCCTGCCCTGAAGTCTTCTTAACAGGCTGGTCACACCCCGTGCAGCAGTCAGTCCCAGTCAGGACACAGCATGGACATGAGGGTCCCCGCTCAGCTCCTGGGGCTCCTACTGCTCTGGGTCCCAGGTAAGGAAGGAGAACACTAGGAATTTACTCAGCTGGTGCGCTCAGTATAGCCTGGCTCTTCAGGGAGGTCTTCTTATAACATGATGGATTGAATGGATGTTTGTTTTTATATTTCCAATCTCAGGTGCCAGATGTGACATCCAGTTGACCCAGTCTCCATCCTCCCTGTCTGCATCTGTAGGAGACAGAGTCACCATCACTTGCCGGGTGAGTCAGGGCATTAGCAGTTATTTAAATTGGTATCGGCAGAAACCAGGGAAAGTTCCTAAGCTCCTGATCTATAGTGCATCCAATTTGCAATCTGGAGTCCCATCTCGGTTCAGTGGCAGTGGATCTGGGACAGATTTCACTCTCACTATCAGCAGCCTGCAGCCTGAAGATGTTGCAACTTATTACGGTCAACGGACTTACAATGCCCCTCCCACAGTGTTACAAGGCATAACATAAACCCCCCAAGGAAGCAGATGTATGGGGCTGGCCTGCCCCAGATACTCCTCCTACTGCCTCCAGCTGCTCAGAGGGTTTCTCATATTCCAGTCAAGCTTTGAAAGTCACTGAAAAGTTTTGATGGAAGGGGCCATGAAGACTCTGAAACTGCCTTTGCAAAAATCATAACTGAGAAAATTATGACGGTGGAAGATATTACACAGCCAGCTCTGTGTGAATTACTCTTTCACTACTGCTATTGCCGTGTCTTGATAAATCGACTCTGTCTAAGCAGCAGGCAAGGTGAACCCCTTGGGCGATTACAACTCCTCTATACCTTAACTGTTTTTCCTTCTCATCCCCTGCAGCACAAACATGGCAATACTGTTCCTGATTTCATTAAGAAAAGAGATGATTACACCTGAGTCTTGGCTATGGTGTGAGTTGGAATCAATACCACAAAGGAAAACCTACTCTTGGAATTCCAAGTCTATTTTTTTTTTTCTAAATACACGCAATGAGAGTCTAAACTACAGCCTCTGGGAGGCTTGGGAGCATGGTACTCAAAGATGCAAATAATTAGAAAACGATTCTCTGGATCTCCCCAAGAATCCAGAGAGCATCTGGTGCAGAAGCTATAATTGCCAATCATGTGGTCCTCAGACATGTCTGGGAAGCCCATGTTCGGGGCTGTTGATGCTCTGCCTGGAGGACCTTCCTGATTTTCTATGGCATCTGCTTACAATTGACCAGCCCCCTATTCAAAGCTTGCCGTGTTGCATCTCAACTCTTGTCCGTGGGACCCCAAGTCTCTAGCCACATCCAGTTCTTCACAGAAGCTGGATGTATGTGCCAGGGCAAGGAGAACTGGGTGGGAGGTGAGTCTGTGGGCTCCACAGCTTCACGTGTTTATGAGGTAGGAGTTATTAAGAAATTATTTTAGGCAGATAGAGAGGAAAAAAGGGATCCTTGGGAGACTTTTCACAGCTGTTGTCTAGCATAAAAGCCCTGGGTCTTAGCCCCGGGCAGGCAACCTTTTATATGCAAATGCAAGCCGTTAGAAACTGGGTCCATCCAACATGCACCCAACATGGTGATTTCCACCGTTGTCCTCTTGCCCTTGCCCCAACATGCGCCTGGCAGCATGGTTGCCCCTACATATCCCCACGTGTGTGGAACATCATGGCGCCCTGTATTTGCATATTAAAAGGCTAGGGTGGGAGGGCCAGTTCTTTCGAGGGCTACCGTGAATGACATGTCTGGTCAAACCAATACCCTGAGCCCTGTGCAAATCAGACACCGCCTCCTCCAGACATCAAATATAGCTGGCTGATATTACCTGAAAGAGTGGTTCGTCCCTCGGCTTTGGAGCCCCCCTCCCTCTGTCTTTGTACAGGGGAGCTTCATCCTTCTTTCTTCCCCCTTCTTTCTTGCCTATTAAACTCCCTGCTCCTTAAAACTATTCTAAGTGTGTCAGTGTCATTTTTTCTAATTTGACTCGAGACAAAGAACCTGGTGTCCTCTACTCATCAGAGCAGTATCATTTATTCCAACATGATAGAGTCACATGGTCTATGCCCAGGGAAAAGAATTCATATTTTTGTCTTATGAATAATCAAGGTTCACCTCCAGGGAACAATAAACAGTACTCTGATTAAGATCTTGAAAAAAAAAAAGAGTTCCCTTCTGGCTGGTAAATAATGGGTTTATTTTAGAAAGTCTACTTTCATGACATGAATCAAAACTTGAAAAATGTAACTATAAATCAATATCATAAAAGAAATCATGAAAGTTGTTCATAATGGAAAGCCAGCCTTTGTCTCCTGCAGGTCTAGTTAGAGCCTCCTGTATAATAATGGAAACACCTATTTGTATTGGTACCTGCAGAAGCCAGGCCAGTCTCCACAGCTCCTGATTTATGAGGTTTCCAACCAAGCCTCCGAATTCTCAGACAGGTTCAGGGGTAATGGGTCAGGTACTGAGTTTACACTGAAAGTCAGTAGGACGGAGACTAAGGATGTTGGAGTTTATTAGAAAACTTGAACTTCCATCAATGATAAATATTCCTTTTGCCTCAAGCACATATTTGAGGAATTTTCCATTGAGTAGATCTACCGATAAGGTCACATTTTTCTGTCTGTTTTAATCTGAATATGTATTTATATGATTCTCAGAAATGTTTTTTGACTATGAAATTATATTTGTGAGACCTTTTTTCAAGTTGTTGTTTACCATTTGATAATTACTGCTGAAACGTCATCTATTAAAAAAAATCGGTCATCCGTTCTCTAACTCTCATTGAAAGGAATTTGCCTTTTTAAACCCCTCAGACTCTTTTTAAGCTTTTCAATTGGCCTTATCTTTTTTTTACAGATTCAATGTATTAAGTCAATTTATTATTTATGATAAATTTATTTATTTATTTATTTTTACTATCACAAAATTTAAAAATCCTGTAAGTTGCTATGTCAAACCTGCCTCTAGATTGCAAACAAACCCCACAAAAAAGAGAGTACCATTATCTTAGAAATACTAGAAAAGCAAGAGTGATAGTGTCCCATTGTTAACAGGGACCCCATAAGGCTAGAATAATGTCCCACATGTTACCTGGGGCACCTGGGAGGAGCTGCCACTGTGCTGAATGGTGGGAAAAAGCCATCTGTGCTCTGAGACTGGAAGCCTGGCCCTATTCCCCTATGTGGATGTAGGAGATAATTGGGGTTATAAAGGGGTAATTACGGTTAAATGAAGTCATAAGGGTGGGGCTCTGATCCAATAGGATTAGTGTCCTTATAAGGACAGAAACCAGAGAACTCTTCTCTTTTCCTTTATTTCTCTAACTCACTGCTTCCCTATGGAAAGGCCATGAGAAGACATGGTGAGAAGGTGACTACCTGTAAACTAGGAAGAAGGTTCTAACCAGAAAGTGAACCTTGCTGGAACTTGATCTTGGACTTTCCAGGCTTGTGAACTATGAGAATAAATTTCTCTGGTTTAATCTACCCAGCCCAGGGTATTTTGGTGTAGCA
Organism: Homo sapiens; assembly: GCF_000001405.40. Classification (NCBI taxonomy): domain Eukaryota; kingdom Metazoa; phylum Chordata; class Mammalia; order Primates; family Hominidae; genus Homo; species Homo sapiens. The sequence goes on along the minus strand of NW_012132915.1, from coordinate 403,054 downwards.
GTGCAAGAAGGCCCATCCACTGTCCCCACCCTCTCTGAGCAGGATCAGCCTCAGGAGGCCCTCATGGACATGGGTGCCCAGCTTTGCCCCTCTTCCTCCTGCTTTTCTGACTCTCTGATGAGGAAGAAGAACTCAGACTTCGGCTTCAGATAGTTTGTATTAAACATGAACATTTCCTTGATAATGAAGTTATAGTTTGTTTATCTTTCTGTCACCTGCAGGGCCAGGTGATACAATTTCAACAAAAGTATATCAATTTCTATACAATTGTACATATTATTTTAATGTGAAATGTAGAAACATAGCGTATACATCTATCTCAATATATAATTAATATTCAAAATATTATATGTATTTAATAAAGTTTACATAATATGTATGCATATATTATTTGTTGAGCATGTGCTCTATTTCTTTGTCATCAGAACAGAATCTGGCTCAGCAAGAGCCCTGGGGACATTTGCTCACCCTCTCCCTTTGCTTCCAAGAAGGTCCTGACTGCTTATATACAATGAGAACAGAGCTGAGAGCAGCCTACTCCAGGAGCCCAGGCCCAGCTCTAAGGTCCTGGTTTCTGAGGCTTTCACCATGGCCCCAGGCTCGGGCTTGGTGCCGCGCCCATGAGTGTGTGAGCAGCTTTCTTTCTTGAATCCTTTGCCAGGCAGCCCCATGGACAGGGCCTGTGGTTCCTCCCAGGTCCTCAGCCTCATAGTTCAAGAAAGCAGCTGTTTCTTTCACAGCCCAGGGCCAGAGCCCAGCAGCTCTCGGTCAGTGCAGGCCTGACCTTAGCCCTGGTTTGAGGACTTTATTTCTAATCTCTTCTCTTTTATTCCAGTACCTGAAAGTCTGTCCTGATCTTAATTGCATAAGCCACATTTCCAAAACTGCTGAAGCTAACATTGCCATCTAGAATATTAAAAATTTGACTTCACTGTCATCCTCAGGGCCTGGCTTGTTCCAACTCCACCAGACCAAGAGGCTCTTGAGATCTCTCCTCCCCACACAACTTAATTTAGAAGCATAGTGAGGTTTAAATGTTGCCAAGCTCTTGACACTCTCTGAGCAGCCATCCCCCTTCTCCTTTGGTGTAGAGGGCACCAGCTCCTTTCTGCCATGCCTGGTGAGGACAGTGAACCTCTCTCAATTTAGGGCTGGAGTGAGGATTAAGAGCATGTGTGGTCACCTCCACCATGAGATGGTAGGGGAGTAGGTGGGCAGGGCTTCTGGGGAGAATTTGATTCCTCATAAATAGAAGGAAGGTGAAGAATTTTGCCCCACATTTTTTCCTGGAAGAGTTTTTAGTGGATATGACACTAATGTCCTTAGCTTAGAGCTGTTGCAGTCCTCTGGAGATCATGAGGACTTGAGTCCAAGACTGAAAATCCAATGTGGGGAAGGTGAACCTGGTTTCCTCATGCTGCCCCCAAGCTGCTGCACCAACCCTAATACTCCAACCTTCAGACTTCTGATCTTTGCTTAAGCTTTTGCTATTGTTTCTTTCCATTGCTTCTAAAGTTACTTTCATTTATTTTATTTCATTTATGAGAAAAGGTACTCAAGGGAAGAAACAGAGCCTTAAATTTGCTCTTTAGGAGAAGACAGGCATTTTTATGTGTGTGTGTGTTCATGGGAGTCTGAGGCGTGAAGGGCAGGAATTGTAAGTGCAGTGCTCCCCTGAGATCTTGGTCATTCTATGCCCATGGCTAGAAAAACTCAAATCACTTTGAAGAACTTATAAATTCTGCTGTCTTTCCCTCTCCATTCCTCTTTTTATATCCTAAGCATGAAATAAATGCCTGTTCTTAATTCCTCCCTGCTCCAAGATCATACATATATAATTGTGGTTAAGAAACAAAAATAGTTGGAGAAGACATAGAAACAGGGGATTTTATGCATTTCATTAACAACAAAGTGTGTTTGCAGGTTTCTCTTTCTTCTTAGCACTTTTTGCTGGGAATGTTACTGGTTAAAGATATTCTAGTTGCTAGTGGCAAATCCGTATGAGTCTGCAGCAACCTCAATCCTTGGCCTGCGGCAACCTCAATTCTTGCCTCCTCAGAAGAAAGAATGCGACTGAGGGGCATAAGGGAGAAAAAGAGACCAAGGTAAATTTCAGAGCAGAAGTGAAAGTTTATTGAAAAGCTTTAGAACAGGGGAGAAAGGAAAGTACACTTGAAAGAGACCAAAGTGGGCGACTTGAAGAAGAAGTCCGGTGTTTAACCTTGATTCTAGTACTTTATAGGCAGGTCTCTTTCCCATGATTCTTCTCTTAGGGTGGGCTGCCCGCATGCGCAGTGCCCTTCTTACCCTTGGGAGGTGAGCATGCTCAGTGTGTTCAGAAAGTTGTACACATGCCTATCTGAGGCTTCCTTCCCTTTTCTGGTGGTGTGCCCCTGGAAGGTCATACTTCACTGTTTTGTATTTATATTTATGTATAAATATAAATTTATGTATATATAAATTATATTTATACATAAATATAAATATGAATACATACATATAAATATACAAATATATAAATATACATAAAGTATAAATGTGAATACAAAATATAAATTTATTTATAAATATAAACATTTTATTTTTATTTTTGTATTTATATTTATTGTATTATTTATTTTAACATGCCTGGGAAGTTGCATTTCCCTGGTGCTTGCATTCAATTAACACCTTAGTGCAAAAGGTGTGGACCATCAGGAAATGGCCTCCCTCTAGTGCCAGCTGCCAACTTATCACTTTTAGAGAGGCAATGTGATCATTGCTGAACCATCACCCCACATTCCTAGTGGGTGGGGAAAGAGACCTCTCCTGCCCATCTCATGCCTGTCTAACTGCCCGTAACAGGAAGATGCTGACTGCTCCAGCCAGGTTCCTGTTAGAGGTTGCATTTGGAGGGTTTACAAAGAAAAGCTACTGGCAATTAGTGCCTGATTCCAGGGAGGGTGGCAGGACATTGGGTCTGGATTCTCAAAATGGAGGAGGCCAGAGTGAGAAAGGCTGTGGGTGTGAGAAGAAAGACCTTAGAACTCAGACCTGTGGCCACAGCCTTAGGACCCTGAGAGTGGGGACCACTTATCAAGGAACAAGGAGCAAAGAAGAAGTTGGGTAATATTTGAGGGATTATCTTGCAGGTGGAAGATAATGGAGGTTTGCATTGGGGTGGAGTGGTGGGGTAGAAGTCGGGGGAGTGGTCAGGTTTGGGACACATTTGGGGTCTATGATTATTGTCTGCACTTCGTTCATTACAAGGCACTTGGTGCAATGAGCAGTGCATGCAGCGCTTATAACTATTCTCGATTTTTTCATTATTATTTATTTATTTTTCATTATGATTTATTTTTATTGAGAATTTCTCTGATTGCTGGTGCTCAGGAAGAAGGTGTCTCCTTTCTTCTGAGGCTTTGTCTGAGTAAGCAAGATTTTTGCCTCTACTGCACGCTTTCTTTCCTGATTGTCCCTCTCTTCTGAAAGGCGATGGCCCAGGTGCTCCACTACTGAGAGTCTCAAGCTCTTACCCAAAGCCCTCAGTCTAGAGTTTTTGTTTTTTGCCGTCATGTTATCTTCTTCTTTATCAGCTTAGCAATTTAAAAAATTACTTTTTTTCTTCTGATTTGTAACTATTAAAAATTCTGTCTTAGTTAATCCTACCTATTACCTTCAGAGCAAGTAATGGACTAGCAAAATGGTATTAGGAGATCCAAATATGTGTGTTCAGGAAGAAATATGAGGAGGCAGGCTGTTCCAGAGTGCTCTGTGCAGCCGGCCCTGCAGAGTCCCTCTGTGTGGCCCTATCACTGACTGCCTTCTGTGAATCAGATATTCTGATGAAAGTCCTGGTGAATCCTGTAGCCAGGGGCCACCTACACCCTCCATGAAGACCAAATCCTGTAGTCAGGGGCCACCCACACCCTCCATGAGGGCCAAAAGCCTCTGAAGACAATAAGAGGTCGAGAGAGTCATAGCTCATGACTGTCCTCTGTAGAGACAGCTTCTTCCCAGATGGCTGAGGGCTGTCTGTGGCTATGTCCTTTCTTGTACATGATAGCGGGGACTGGGCAGATCTCTATGCAAACCCGAGCAAGACCTTCCTGTGTGTTCCTCTCTGAACTCTGAACCTAGGTGGCAGTGGATACACTTAGGGAAGTGGAATGATTTGTGATCATAAGAAAGGGAGGGAAGAAGGGGGAGAGAGTGAGCGAAAGACATAGAGAGAGAATGTAACGTGTGTACAGTACCGACACTGAAACTGGGTCCTGTAATGGTTTAGCACTGAGTATCACCCCCACATTATCAGGTTCTTTTCCATGGAGCCAATTAATGTAACTGGTATGGGAAAAAGACCTTTGCAGGTATAAATTAAGAATCTAGAAACAGGGAGATTATCCTGGATTGACCAAGTGGACCCTAAATGCAATCACAAGTATCCTCCTAAGAGTGAGATAGATTGAGATTTAACACAGACAGAAGAGAAGGCAATGTGGCCACAGAGACAAAGACTGGAGGGGTATGGCCACAGTCAAGGAAAGATGCAGCCATTAGGAGCTGGGGGAGACAAGAATAGACTCCCTCCTGGAGCCTCTGAAGGAGCCTGGCCGCCAAGGCCATGATCTTGGCCCAGAGATACTGATTCTAGATTTCTGGCCTACAAAAGTATGAGAGAGTAAACTGTTTTAAGCCATCAGATTTTTGGAACTGTGTTACAGCAGCCCAAGGACACTAATAAGAATGAAGTGCAGGGAAAGTGCAGATGAAACGTGCTCTGGTGGTTTTCAGTCTTCTTGTTCAACTTTCTACTGCTACACATAAATAGATTGATGGGAAAGGATATGGTGGGAAAACATTTACGTGAAACTTCACTGTATAGAGAGAGAGAGATCTATTAGTTAGAATAAATATTGATAATTTTTAGTTGAAAGTGACATCTGACTAGTAATATCTTACATAACGTCTTCATTCTAAGACAGTCAAGGATGCATGAAATGGACACCGGGTACTCTCTCTCTCTCTCTTTCTCTCTTCATGGGTCATGATCTGGTGAAGCCCTCAAGACACTGCTTGATATCCACAGTACTTCATTTTACAGGTAAGAAAACTGCCCATCAGAGTGCAGGGGTGATTTCCCAAAGTCACATGGTCAGCAGAAGTAGGGACTGAGATTGGAACCCAGGTCTGTCAGAACTTATATATGTTCCTTCCACATGGCCACATGTATGTATACACCTCCCCTGTCCTTACCGATTGAGGGCTGTCCTAGGGGATGCTATTCCAGACACTGTGGTCTGGCATGCATGCAGGCAGAGCTGCCTTCCCCAGCTCAGAAAGAGCAGCAGCATGACCATGGAGTCTGCCCATCTCAGAGAGAGCAGCAGCATGACCATGGAGTCTGCCCAGCTCAGAGACAGCAGCATGACCATGGAGTCAGCAGAAGTACAGTGAAGGGGAAAGGCCAAGGGTAGCAAGAGAGACGGCTACATTCAGAAAAAAAAGATGTGTATTTCAATCTAGAGCCCTATGTCTTGAACCTGGATATTAGTAGGCTGTTTACTGGCCAGTTCTCTTGAAATCCAAGCCCCCGGAAAAGCAGCAGAAGGTTTGTGCACAGACTGCACCACTGTGGTGGGACCATGCGTGATCATGAATGAGTAATACTGCCTGGAGTACCCGGGCTCCAGCCCACTGATGCTGATGTAGTTGGTTCCAATTCCCCTGCTGCTGAATCAGGTTGGGATGCCCTCAGCATAGGCAGAGGTATGAGGTACAGAGGTTCAAATTTGTTTCCAAGTTTTATCCATTTTCAGATATATCTCTGTATACATCAGCAATGACTTGGCCAGGGATGGAGACCCTGTGTCCTGGCTGTGAGACAGTGAGGCTGACATCTGGGTCAGGGTGATGTCCCCACTCACTGCAAAAGAGTAAAAGAAGCAAATGACATTGATGGTTCAAGGCAAGGACATGTACCGAGCAGCAGCCACCCCCACCAGAAGAGAGAGTTCACTGACTTTGTCTTTCCCCAGGTCCTCCCCTTCACCTGCCCTTCAGAAAGCCAGGCTTCGGGGGAGCTGCACCTGAGACACTAGGAACATGCTGGTAGGGAGCACAGCTTGGAGCATTACCCAGGGGATATGATCTTTGTCTTCCTACTTTGGACACATTTGATTATAAGAGTCTGGATTGATACAGGGTTTCAAGTTTATCCTAATCAAGGCTCCTATAGTTCAATGAAGAAACAGAGAATCTTGTTGAACTAATCAGATCTGGCATCACTAGCCAGCCCTTTATGCGATGATCTGTAAGAAATATTACACAGTGACAGAAAAGGTGGTAGAATATTCTCCCCAAGGCAAGAATAAGGTGCTATCCATTTAATCCTTGGGTATTAAAGTGACCGATAGCTCTGGAAAATGGAGGGTCTGTGCGTGGTACATGCATGAGAAATCATGGTATTATCTTTGTGAAACTGCAGTCAATTCCTTGTCCTTATACCAGTAACAACAATGGCTTAAAGTTATGACAAACTATTTTTGAATATTGTTAAAAATGCTTCTGATAAAGTCTTATTTTCATTTTAAAAAAGACAATTCCTCACTGACAGAAATATTGTTAACACAACACAAAATATTTTTACACTCACCAAATACATTTGCCAGTAACTTGAAGACCCAAGAGCTCTACTTTCTAAGATTTTATTATGCATTCCCTGCAAACAAGGATAGTCTCCTACATACTGCCAATACAACTATAAAATGCATTACTCAATGTAGTCCTTAGGTTCGTTTAAAATTTTGGAAATTGTCCCAAAAATACGTTTTGTAATAGTATGGCCACCAAAGAGAAATGTATTATCTGCAGGTAAGTTGATGCTACCCTGCTCTGATCTGGGACCCTGGGGACACTGCCCCTGTGCTGAGTTACTGAGATGAGCCAGCCTTGCAGCTGTGCCCAGCCTTCCCCATCCTCTGCTGATTTGCATGTCCCAGAGCACAGCTCCCTTCCTGAAGACTTATTAATTGGCTGGTCACACCCCGTGCAGGAGTCAGTTTTTGTCTGGACACAGCATGGACATGAAGACCCTCATTCAGCTCCCGGGACTTCTGCCATCCTGGTTTCCAGTTAAGAAAAGAAATTACTAGCCTCTTACTCAGCCAGTGTGCTAGGTACTGCCTGGCCATTCAGGGAAGTCTTCTTATAACATGATTAATTGTGTGGATATTTGTTTTTCTGTTTGCAATTTCAGGGACCAGAAGTGACATCCAGTCACCCAGTCTCCATCCACACTGTCTGCATCTGTAAGGAGACAGTGTCACCATCACTTGCCGGGCGAGTCAGAGCATTGGTAGTAATTTAGACTGGTATCAGCAGAAACCAGGGAAGGCCCCTAAGGGCCTGATCTATGCTGCATCCAGTTTGCAATCTGGGGCTCCTTCGCGGTTCGGTGGCAGTGGATCTGGGACAGATTTTACTCTCACCATCAGAATCCTGCAGCCTAAAGATGTTGCAACTTATTACTGTCAACAGTATAAAAATTACCCTATCACAGTGTTACAAACCATAACAAACCCCCCCCAGGAAAGCAGACATGTGACGCTGGGCTGCCCCACCTGCTCTTCTTTGTGCAGCCATCTGGTGACAACACTTCTCAGACTCAGCCTGAGTTTTGAGGGTTATTGGGAGATTACGGAAGAGGGGGCCATGAAGGTGTCTCTCCACCCTAAGTCTCTTTCCTCTCATGGCAATGTCTCTTCGAATTTAGTAAAGAAAGGAGATTAGTCTACCTGAGGAGTCTGTGTTATGGGGTAATTGAAATTCTTACAGTAAAATGGAAGCCACACATTCCAAGCAGGAATTGTTTTAACTGAGTGAATTAGAATCTAAACTATAGCCTTTGAAAGCCTGGCATATGTTATTCATGAAGCAGATACTAGAGATGGGGTTCTCTGATGCAAAAATATAAATATTTATTGATCTGTTTTTAAAGATACTAAGATAAAACTTAAAAATGTTGTCACTGTATCAAATATATTGCATCATATATCTATAAAAACAGTAAAATTTGTGTCATTTATGAAAAATGCACATATTTGAGTGTATATAACATACATATTAATCCATATATATTTATTTGATAACTTGTTAGCTATAAATACTAAGTACACATATTCATGTGTAGATAAGATTATTTAAATATGTTTATATATATATATATAAGCAACACATGCATACGTATGAAATTATTGTATAAATTAAATCTGTTAAGATAATTCCAGTTACTCCCATGAAAAAAACTGATGTCCAGGACTATATATGTTACCTGCTCTGGCTACAGGGATTTCCTTTGTAATCTTTATTTCTAACACTCACCAAATGGGTATGTGCACCTGAAAATATCTTTTAGTGGAGGGGTAAAGGATATGAAGAAAGGTAATTTTGCCTAATGTTAAAATTAGGCAAAATGTTAAAATTTCACAGTGATGCCTGCTGGGCAGAGTTCTAAATTGGGTGCTGGACCAAAGCCACACCCCTGCCATCGTCAAGGATGCCCTGGAAGACTAGAAATCACAATAGTGGGTTAACTACAAGGGTATATCATTGGCTACTTTGCAAAGAGAGGCTGGTAATGCAATGACATTGATTATTAATTTGCACAGGTCATTAGGTCTCAGAAGAAACAAAACTTAAGGACAAAATTGGTTTAGAAGAGCTGTGACTGGATCTTTCAAAATGGGCCAAGATCAAAAATAAATGCTACCCAAGTGAATACTCATCTAAATGCCATTGCCTAGCAGGGAACTCTTAATAATTAAGGTGATCCAACACATGGACTTCAGTCAGTCACCTTTCCCAGGGAGTCTCATGAACCTAAGCCATGGAGATTTATGCATCTGAATTTCATTTGATGAGGCTCACAAGGCTAATGGCACGTCTGAGTATCTGACTTGCCAAAAACCATGACCCTTCCTGAAACCCTAACATTGTACTACACATCTGAGATCAGACTAACAGCTGGTATCAGGTGAGTACATTGGACCTAACCCAACACATTGGGGCGGGGGTGGTTATTTTCCTATATGTACATTTGCCTTTCTTATCAGCCATGTTTCTGCTAGAATAATTACTTGAAAGTTTTTCAAGTGCTTTCAAGTCAAGAAACCCTTACATAATTTATCATTGGAAAAAGTAACTTTATTATAGCAAAAAAAAGTAAGGCAAAGTAGGTTCATGATGCTGTCATGTGTACAGAGGCAGCTATCCCTACAGACAGGAGAAACCCCATTACTAGGCAGGTGAAGTGAGCACACAAACCCTTGTAATGTCAAATCACTGTCTTGCCAGATGTGGCGGAGGCCCCAAAACACCAAGGTGTATGGTATTGTTACTCCCATCAAGAGAATAGTGGTATCTGAGACATGGGGGGTGAGCCCATCACTATTTATTATGCCTACAGAGCAGATTGAAAAGTTCTCTTTCTGTTCACTCAGGTCCGGGGTTTTCTGGTTGACAGTTCTTGATCCAATGGGTTAGCATGATAAATCATTAATAAATTGGAAGAAACAATGAACATGCGGCCATTTAGTTCTCATTATGATGTAAGATAAACTGTCAATAAAGGGTCTCATGGTGTGGGCTGGAGTCATAGGTATAGGTTTCCTTCTACATATTTTAGAGAGGAAGTAGAGAATATGTGGAACCCAGAGGAAATTCAGGATTTTTTTTTTTTTTTTTTTTAGACAGAGTTTCACATTTGTTGTCCAGACTGGAGTGCAATGGCACGATCTCAGCTCACTGAAACCTCCACCTCCCGGGTTCAAGCAATTCTCCTGCCTCAGCCTCCTGAGTAGCTGGGATTAGGGTTACAGGCACCTGCCACCACGTCTGGCTAATTTTTTTTTTTTGTATTTTTAGTAGAGACAGGGTTTTACCATGTTGCCCGGGCTGGCCTCAAACTCCTGACCTCAGGTGATCCACCTGGCTTGGCTTCCCAAAGTGCTGGGATTACAGGCATGAGCCATTGTGCCCAGCTGGGAATGTTTCCATTTACCACCATTTCCACTGGTAAAAGTGAAGAGAAACTTCTACAGACTCCAGAGTGAAGCTTTAAGTAACACAGCTGAAGCATCACATGTACTTAGACACTAGTGCAGCAGAGGGGAGATGAAACGCACAGTGAACTTAGGAGATGTGAACACCAGCTACAGCCTCTAGGTCAGCTTCATAGTAGAGAAGTACAGGAGCCAGTCCACTCATTCCTTCTTCCTTCTTCTGTCATCGAAGCAGTCAGATACAAGAGAAGCCATTATGGCTGGTGAAGCAAACTCGCGTTTATTGTCATGGATTAGGTGAACTAAGCCAGATGGAAAGAGCAGAGGAGTGGGCTCAGGCATTCATTTCACTTCCCTGTTTCTTCCTGCGTTTCTATGCAGAAAAATCCTCTGATTGTGACAGGAAACTTGTGAGGCAGGATGCTGTGCCCACAGGACAGTGCTGCCTGGCCAGGACCCAGACCAGGAGAATGAGCCCCTCTGGAAGGCATCTCCCCTTCCCTTATTAACTTCTGAAAACCACTCTGCAGGGGCATATCTCATGTGCAGAGCCTTAATCACATCTGGGACCCTGAATGCCAGAGACATGAAGGTTAGCCTCACCAGAAACGACCATAAAGATCGTGCTGGAGGCCAGGGGATAAAAAGAATACAGAGAAAACCAACTCATGAAATCTGAATGAGTCACGCACACATTTACATATGTTAAATATTTTTTTCTCAACTGTCCCTTTATTAAAATTCTTTTAATACAAAGTGCTGTTTTGGTCACCTATATAATTCATACCACAGATTAAATGATATCCAGATTGACTTGTGACTCATGAGGGAAGGTCAGTTTTTCCTAGATGGTGTTGGACTGAACAGATTTGAGTTTTTTCACCTTTTGGGTAGAGGTGAGCATGCTGCTATATGCAAAGGGAATGTCTGCATTCTGTTAGGTGTTATCACATTGCTGTTGATATCATGAATACCAGAGGGTTCAAGTGTAAGAAGATATGTACTCATGACAGAAAGCCACAGGGTGGATGGGAGCAGAAATAGCACCTGGAGTCATGTAAACAGAGGGGTCTGCATGAGACTGAAATGGGGATGCAACCAGCACAGGGAGGGCTGCACTCAGGTGGGCAGGTGGCACCACCAACCTTAGCACACAGCTTTCCTCCTTCTTCCATAGCCACTGCTCCCCCATGTCCCTATTGCAGATCTCTCCCTCATTTATTCCAGTACTTGGAAGTATGTCCCGGCCTTAAATTCCCAGGCTACATTTCCTCAACTGCTGAAGCTAACATTGTCATGTGGAAAATTAGAAATTTGACTTCATTGTCATCCTCAAGGCCTGGCTTGTTCCAACCCCACCAGATTCAGAGAATGTTGGGATCTTTCTGCTTCATCCAGGTTGGCTTAGACACAAGGTGAAATTTAAATGTGTCGAGGCTTTGGCCTCCTGCCTAGCAGCCATCTTCCTCCTTTGGTTTCTTGGGCACCAACTCTGTCCTGCTGTGCATGGGGAGGACAGAAAGTTTCTCTCAGCCCAGGACAGGAACAGAAATTAGGGGGACATGAGTTTGGTTCCACAATAAGATGTCAGGGAGTGAGGGATGAGCAGAGATTCTGGGAAGAATTTTCATCCCTTATAAAAAGAAGAAGGTGGGGCCGGGCGCGGTGACTTATGCTTGTAATCCCAGCACTTTGGGAGGCTGAGGCGGGTGGATCACGAGGTCAGGAGATCGAGACCATCCTGGCTAACACGGTGAAACCCCGTCTCTACTTAAAATACAAAAAATTAGCCGGGCGAGGTGGCGGGCGCCTGTAGTCCCAGCTACTCAGGAGGCTGAGGCAGGAGAATGGCGTGAACTCGGGAGGCGGAGCTTGCAGTGAGCCGAGATTGTGCCACTGCACTCCAGCCTGGGCGACAGAGTGAGACTCCATCTCAAAAAAAAAAAAAAAGAAGAAGGTGGTGAAGAATTTTGGCCTGCATTCTTTCCAGTAATCATGATGAGAGGAACTGATTCTTAGAGCCGCTGCAGCCATCTTAAGACCATGAGGCAGTGAGCCTACGTCTGCAAAGCCAATGTGGTGGGGTGCAAAGTAGAAATAGAGAAAGAACCTGGGGCCTTTCTGCTGTTGCCAAGATGCTTCACCAACTCGAAAAGCTCCAACCTTTGGACCTCTTTGCTTAAGCCATTGCTATCATTTGTTTCCACTACTTCCAAAATTATTTTCATTTAGACAGAAAAGATACTCAGTGAAAGACCACGGCTGGGCCTTAGACCTGCTCTTTAGAAGAAGACAGGCATTATCATATGTGTGCATTTGTGGGAGTCTGAAGCATGAAGGGCAGGAACCAAAATAAGTGATATCCTCTCCTGGCATCTTGGTCCTGCTGTGTCCCTGGCTAGAGAAACCCAAACCGCTTCGAAGAGTTTATAAATTCCATTCTCCTGCTGTCGTCATTTCTATTTTCATATTCTAAATATAAAAGAACCCTTCTTATCTTCAATTCTTCCCTCTGCAAGATTGTGAAAATAGAACCATGGTTAAGAAACAGACAAAAAAGTTTGAAAACACATAAAATCTAAGGATTACATGCATCTCCTCCACACCACCGTGGTGTTTGCAGGTTTCCCCTCCTTCTCAGTGTTTTTTGATGGGAGGATGCTGACTGCTCCAGCCATGTTGCCGGCAGAGGTTGCATTTGGAGGGTTTACAAATAAAAGCTTCCAGACAGTTACTGTTGGATGCTGGGGAAGGTAGCAGGAGGGTTGGGTCTAGATTCCCAGCATGGAGGAGGCCAGGGTGATTCCTGGGAAAGGCTGTTGGTGTGGAAAGAAAAGACTTAGAACTCAGACCTGTGGCCTCCACCTTAAGATCCAAGCATGGGAACCATTTATCAAAGAGCCAAGAAACCTGAGTTGATTCTTAGATAGGAAGCCCCATCTCATCAGTGGCCACCACCATCTGTCATTCAAGTTGAGATTCACCTTCAGTGATGGCTCCACATAACCCTCAAAGCAATGGCTGTCAGGCCCTGAACCAGTCTACATGAAGCAAGCTTCATCACAAGAAGTATGAGGGTAGCCTCAAAAGTGAGACACCAGAGTCCATGGCCTGAAGGAAAAAACAGTAATTACTGAAGTTTATACCAATTTTACTAACATCCTTCCTAATGTCAAGGATTCCCCAACTTCCTGACAGTCAGTCTCCTCTGCATGTTGAACTAATGCCTTGTCTGATTCTAGGCTGACCATGAACTTAAGTATCACAAGAGATGTGCTTCTTCTTGCCTTTCCCTCCAGGTAGAGGCATCATTTTCCTTCTGGTCATTGTCAAAAGAGGAAAGTTTTCCACTAAATATTGCTCATTTCCATACAAGCGTACTGGCCCCAGTCTTAGGTCAAAACCCAGCAACTGCATAGGTCTAGTGAGTCCTTCCCTCGGTGCCTCTTTTTAGTGTGCACCTGCCTTATGCCTTTCCCTGAACCTAAGTCTCTATAAAGTCTGATGCCTCAAGCGCTACCCAGGCTCTGAGCACTCCTCACCAGCATGTTCCTGGTGGCTCAGAAGCAGCTCCCCTGGGGCCTGGCTTTTTGGAGAGCAGTTGAGGGGGAGTACCTGGGGAAAGGCTAAGTGAGTGAACCCTCTCTCCTCAGTGAGGGCAGCTAAAACTGGGTGCATATTCCTGCTGTTCACCATCAATGCCACTTTCTTCTTTTACTCTTTGCAGTGAGTGGGGAAATCATCCCAACACAGGAGACTGCTTGCTTGTCAGTACATTCAGGAAAGAGAGTTTTTGTCTCCTGCTAAGCCAGCAACAATGTACATGGAGAAATATCTTGAATCAGTAAAAAACTTGGACAAAGACTTGAACCCCTTACATCTCATGTCACTACCTTGGTCCTAGGCATCCCAGCCCAGTATAGTGGCAGCAGAACTGGAACCAGCTATGCCTTCACTATCAATGCCCTGGAGCCTGGGGACTACGGGGAGTATAACTGCATGCTTGACTATGGGTAGCCAAGCAATGGTGGTGCAGTGTGGGCACAGAATCCCTGCTGCCTGTCATGCAGCCTGAATTTCTAGGGCACATTCTTGCATTCCAGAGAGATGTGGCCCACATGGACCCTCCAGATTTCACATACACATCTTTTTTGAGTGGATGTAGCAGTAGTTGTCCTAATTCTTTTCTGCATTTCTGCTGACTTCTCATGGTGATATCTGCCCCTCGCTGCTCTCCCTGAAACTACAGAAGGCACCTCTGACTTCATGCATGGTAGACCTCAGAGCCTGGAATGAGCATCCCCTAGGACAGCCCTCAATCTGTGGTGACTAAAGGAGGTGTATACATACCACAGCTCCCTCATCTCTCAGGTAGAATAGCCCAGAGGTTCTTGTGTTTTTACATTGGCATGAGCTTTAGTGGTCCTCATGGTCCTCATGAGCAGCTGCTTATTGATGAGCTTTTCACTGGCCATGTCTTCCCTGCCTCACTTTCCCCCTTCTCTCCCAGGGTTTTCTGTGCTTTGTAAATATGTTGTCAGCATGGGAATTCTTGTCATTGTAAGACCCACCTTAAGACAATAGGCAAATTCTCATGTGTAGAGGTATCTTTATCTAAATTCTAGGGATTTCTTTTTTTATGGGTAGAAAAATTCAGAAAGTTAGGGAAACATTTAATTTTCCTTTACCAATCTCTCTTAGATTGCAATTAAGTAGCAATTCTTTTCTTCTGGGTCCCAAAATCAGAATAGTCTCTAACAAATAGCTACACATGTGAGGTCCACATTGGAGCAGCAGCAGCAGCAGCAGCAGAATCCTCCAGCCCAGGGAAACCCCAGACCAGAGGACCCTGACTCAGATCTCTCCAGCTCTCTTGCTTTATAAAGATGTTGGTTGCCCACATTCTATCCTTCTTCCAGCTATGTGATTTTGGATTCTTGTTTAGAGAAGGACAGTTTGGGGCCAATAAGAATGATTGGTAGTGTGAGTAAAGCACTCCCCATCTCTTCTCAAAAAAAAAAAAAAAAAAAAAAAAAAAAAAAGATGTTTGTGCCTAATCTGTGGAACCTATGAATGTTGCCTTATATGGCAAAAGAAACTTGGCAGATGTGATTAAGCTAAAGATCTTGAGATGAGAAGATTATCTAGATGGGTCACATGTAATCACCAGTGTCCTTACAAAACTGAGGCAGGAGGATCAGATTTGGGGAGGAGATTTGGCAAGGAAGAAAGACGCTGAGTGATGTAAGAGAAAGGCCAGGGGCCTGGAAAGACAGCAGCTTCTAAAAGCTGGAAAAGGCCAGAGAAAAAGTTCTTTCCCCCAGCATCCATAGGGAAGCTTACTTTTAGCCCAGTGAGAGCTTCATTTATCCCAGTGAGACCTGTGTGAGATTTCTCCCTTCCAGAACTGTAAAAGAATAAACTGATGCTGTTTGAAGCCAGCAAGGATGTGGAGATTTGATAGAGGAGCTACAGGAAACACACACAGGGAGAGAATGGCATTTGCCTCTCTGTTCTTGCCTCTTTCAGCTTCTGGTGGCTGCAGCTTTCCTTGGCTGCGGTCACATCACTCCCGTCTCTTTCTCTGTGGTCACACTGCCTTCTCTTCTGTCTGTGTTAAACTTCTCACATCCTCTCTTACAAGGACATTTGTGATTGCATTTAGAGCCATTATGGTTAATCCAGATAGTCTCCCCATCTTAATATTATTAATTGACATCTGTGAAGTCTTTTTGCTCAATTTAGGTAACACTCACAGGTATCAAGGAACTAACTTATTAAAGTATCCAATCTTTCTGTGCATACATACACAATTTATCTCTCTCTTTCTCCCCATTCTCTCTCCTTTCCTCATGATCAAAAATCACTTCCTTAAGTAAATCCAGTTCCACCTATGGCCAGGTCAGAGCAGCACACAGGGGAAGGCCTTGCTCAGGGTTTGCTTAGAGACCTGCTCTGCCCCCATTATCATGCGGAAGGAAGGACACAGCCACAGACAGCCCTCAACCATCTGGGAGAATCTGTCTCTACAGAGGAAAGTCATGGGCTAAGACCCTCCAGACCTGTGATTGTCTTCAGGGGCCTGTGGTCCTCAGCCCTCCCTCTGGATGTCTGATTGTCCTCGGGGATCTGTGGTCCTCAGCCCTCATGGAGGGTTTGTCTGGCCCCCGGTGGTCCACCTTGGCCTCTCATTTTACTCTTTGCACTCACCAAGGAAGTATATTTGCTGTGGGCTGAGTGAGGTGACAAAATAGGCCAAAGTATACAAATAGCTGTATTTTATAATTTTGTTTGTATTTTTCTCAATTAAATTTATGGGATATTTTGAAATGTTTTGCAAGGTGTCATATGAAAATCATTTTTTAGTCATATCTTGACTCAGTAGGTGGGATAAACCCTAATTCAGGGTTAATCTCTAACTGTCTTCACAATTTGGGACAAAAAAATCAAGTGTTGGCTCATCTGCCCCTCCCCTGGCCTCAGCTCCCACCCACTTCTTCCATCTGTCTTTTTTTTTTTTTTAATTATACTTTAAGTTCTAGGGTACATGTGCACAACGGGCAGGTTTGTTACATTTGTATACATGCGCCATGTTGTGTGCTGCACCCGTTAACTCGTCATTTACATTAGGTATATCTCCTAATGCTATCCCTCCTCCCTCCCCCGCCCCCACGACAGACCCCAGTGTGTGATGTTCCCCACCCTGTGTCCAAGTGTTCTCATTGTTCTATTCCCACCTATGAATGAGAACATGTGGTCTTTAGTTTTCTGTCCTTGTGATAGTTTGCTCAGAATGGTGGTTTCCAGCTTCATCCATGTCGCTACAAAGGACATAAACTCATCCTTTTTTATGACTGCATAGTATTCCATGGTGTATATGTGCCACATTTTCTTAATCCAGTCTATCATTGATGGACATTTGGGTTGGGTCCAAGTCTTTGCTATTGTGAATAGTGCCACAATAAACATATGTGTGCATGTGTCTTTATAGCAGCATGATTTATAATCCTTTGGGTATATGCCCAGTAATGGGATGGCTGGGTCAAATGGTATTTCTAGTTCTAGATCCTTGAGGAATTGCCACACTGTCTTCCACAATGGTTGAACTAAGTAGTGGATTAAGCAGCTTGTTTTATTGACAACGTTCTCTTTTCTTTTATTCCTGTTTCATCCTCAGCCTTCAGAAAATAAAATAAAAATCATAATTCTCAGAGCTTTGTTTTTGTACTTTGTCTCGAGTTATAATTTGGTAGTATTTCCCAAGAGCATATAATAATTATTGTATTCTAATTTATCAAATTTTGTATAGAATATGATATATAATAACACATATTAATCACAACTATAGTAAATTTATTGACTCTTTAGTTAAAAGACAGTATTATCAGATTATCTCAGGAGTCAGATAATAAATATTTAGGTTTGGTGAGGCAAGATGCAAAATTGAATATATTATGTGAGTACTTAGAGAAGAGAGAAAACAAATTTCTGCAATGTCTATTAATGAACTCAGATGGAATGTAACCCAAAGAGCTTCTCAGCCTGTCCAGTGAACTGTCACTTACCACCAAATGCTCACAATTTTAAGGAACACAAGGAAACCCCAAATTGAATTATTGTTTAGATCAGAAACATGAGCAGAGGTTTCCAAAATTATTAAAGTGAGAAAGGCCTGAGTCTGATTGAATGGATGTGTTGTGCAGGATGGGGTGGCATAGAAAGTAGGGCATCACCCAAGGAATTGTTCCTGGCCTGCTGGACAGCATTGTCGTCTGTTTGCAGGGAATGGAATTACACACACTGAAGGGTCTGAGCCCGGGGCCTGCTCATCTGTGCAGCCGTGATGATCATCACACCCACAGTGCTGGGCCTAATTGCGTGTTGCCCTTTAATAGTTTTTACAAAGAATGAGGAGGCTTCAGGGCTCATAGGAAAGATGGCTAAGCTGCAAAGGAAAAGTGTGTGTGGAAGATGAACTTCTGATGAACTAGTTTTCAGCCAGGTACATTCATGCACCAATGGAGATGACTCGGTTCTTTGGAGAAATAAGGAGAGGAAAAGAACCACAGGCTTCTATTTTATTCCCAACAGGTTTGTACTAAATACCATCTGGCTGGGTCTAGGTGACTAGTGAGACGGGAAGAAACAGGGGCTATAGTCTGTGACCACAGGGAAGAAGTTCTACCATCAGGCTGAGCCAATGGACTTTTCTGGCCTGACCACCTGGGCAGGGGCTGCTGAGTGCAGAGAGGAGGAGGCAGGGGGTCTCTGCAGCTGGAAGCCCAGCACCCACTCCAACTACTTTGCATATCCTTCCAGCCACTCTGCTGTCCAGAGCCCATATCAATGCCTGGGTCAGAGCTCTCGGGAAGAGCTGCTCGGTTAGGACCCAGAGGGAACCATGGAAGTTCCAGCTCAGCTCCTCTCCTTTCTGGTACTCTGGCTCCCAGGTGAGGGGAACACGGGATGATTCTGCATGCCAATGAAACTCTGTCAATGTTATTGGGTCCTGTGACCTGCTCAGCAAGAACAATAATTAATATTCAATGTACATCAATGATCCCAGCTGTACTGGGAAGACAGTGGATTTGATCTAGATTGCACAATTGACTTTCCTGTTTTATTCCAATCTCAGATACCACTGGAGAAGTTGTGCTGACATGGTCCCCAATCACCCTGTGTTTGTCCCCAGGGGAAGGAGCCACCCTCACCTGAAAGGCCAGTCAGATCATTGACAACTATTCAGCCTGGGACCAGTAGAAACCTGTTCTGGTTCCCAGGCTCCTTATTTATAGGGCATCTACCAAGGCTACCAGCATCCCAGCCCGGTTCAGTGGTGGTGGGCCTGAGGCAGACTTTACCCCAACCATCAACAGCCTAGACCCTGAAGATGTCACAATTTTATTACCCTCATCAGTACAGCAGTGGGTGTCCCACAGTAATTCAACATGAAACAAAAACTTTCACAAAACCATTGATTTTTTTTTTCTAAAACCAGCAGCTTTATGGGCTGCAGCTATGATGGCTGCTCAGTTTTAGCAACTGTGCCTCTATTTGGAAATTTTGAAATTCTGAAAAGTAACTCGTTGTCAAGATGGTGACTCCAATGTCTGTATTTTTCTCAGACTTATTTACAGAGTTAGGTTTTGAATCAATTTTACTGCAAGGCCTTCAGACAGACTCACCTGCATGGATGCCTTTAAAGACACAGGTGCCGCTGGGCACAGTGGCTCACTCTTTTTTTTTCCAATAGAGTAGAACAAACATAGCTTTTCATTTAATAAATTTTCACTTAATGGCAGCATTTTCACGAACAAGTAAAGGCCACCGAGTGAAGGTTAGGTGCACGTGAGTAAATAAGACAATTTTGGGTCCCAATTCAGTAGGGGAAAGAGCCATGAAGGAAGAATAACCACACAATAAAAGTGCGTAGAATAATTTCTGTAGTTGACAAATTGTGTAAAAAGCAGGAATGGTCTGTGGTATCTGGAGGCTGAGGCCATATATTTGTGCTGATCAGGGAAGGCCCCAGGGTCATACTGAAGATTCATCTGAGTGGTGAGGAGGCAGCCAGGTGACCACAAAAACAGCAAAGACCACGGGATCATTATGGGAAGGGCAGGGACCAGTGTGTACTGAAAAAGTCAGCAAGTGCTAAACTAATCAGATGCCTTCTCTGATTTTTATTCCCGTAAAGATAAAACTTACTGTAATATCTTACATCATACACCTTGGTCTGGGTCACTCCCATGGCATAGAATGTTCCCTGGTTCAGAAGTTGGAAGCCCAGGTCTTTCCTTTGTTGACAGTTTGCAGGCTCCCCAGAGCCCTTCCCTGCCACTCAAGCCCTTATCACTGGGTCAGTCTCTGTCTTTGAGTTGGGATCACCATAGGCAGGGGCAGCACTAGACACTGGACATGGGGCTCTGGCCCTCTGGGTTCTAGTTCCCTGGTTTCAGCTAAGGGGGCTCCACATGACAGAGTTCATATGTCCCATAGGACAATGGCTCAGATTGAGGCCATTGTTCAGGGAGCCCAGCATTCACCTCCCACTTGATCAGCCAGCAGGACTCTGCTGGGAAGCCTATGGAGAGGGACATCATTAACTGGGGAAGATCTGTGTTTTGTTTCCACCTCAGATTCTACAGGCAACTATGTGGGCCCCAGTCTCCAGCTTCCCAATCAGTGTCTCCAAGAGGGACAGTTTCCATCACCAGCCTGGAAGCATCCAGGGAAGGTTCCTGAGATCCACCCATGTGCTCTGTCTACCTTGGCCATGGTCCACCCCAGCTTGGTACAGTGGTCCTGGGACACACCTTTGCTTAACAGTTAGAAGCTTGGGTGTCCCAGTGACATTACTGGTTATTACTGTCTACAACTGTGCTGTTCCACGTGGGAAACACTAGCAGTGATAGCCACAGATGTGTCAATTAGAAATACTTAAAATTAGAAAAGTAGCTTCACAGTTACATCAGGTACATTTCATGTACTCAGCAGCCACATATGACTGATGACTAGCCTATTGCACTTCATACATACAGACATTTTCATCATCTTAGAAAATGACTTTGCTTAGCACAGATGTAAATGATAACATCTGATTACTCGCAGTGCTATAGCTGAGAACACAAACCTCAGCAGTTGTTCTTTTAGAAGATCAGGTGTCCCCGGATGCTTCCTCAGCTCGGAAAGCTACTGTGGTTCTCAGAGCTGCTCTGGAAGTGTTTCTGGGATGGGAGGAATGAGGCTGGGTTGACAGATCCAAACCAGGGGCCGTCAGCTTCTCACCCCAGTCCCTGCCATTATGCCCTACAGGGTCCTTTACAGCCCTCTCTTTTTTCCAAAACCACATCTTTGGCATGTCACATGGATCCCAGAATCTAGCCACCCTAATTGTTTTGTGACAAATATTTTTCCTGCATACCGTTTGTCCTCAACTAGATGACTGGTTTATTGAGGGGAGGGGCCATTTCGTGTTTTCTACAAAATCTGTCCTAGTGATGGATGTCATAAGATCAACTCCATGAATACCCATGAAAAGATTTCATCCATAGTCAACGCTCACTGGACCCTAGTATCTAACATCCTGTAAGATGCTATGTTAGAAACTGGCCAATAGATGGCAGACAAACACCGTAATAAACAAAAGATAGACGTCTGATCTTAGAAGTAATGAGGAAGTAAAAGTGATCATGTCCCCTTATGGACAGGGAGGCCCTAAGGCGGGACTGGGGTCTCCTGTCTGACATGGTTCGCCTGGGAGGAGCTGCCAGTGTGCTTAGTGATGGGAAAATCCCCTGTGCTCTGAGACCGGAAGCCTCATCTTGCCCCTCCCTACTGCCTTGGCTGTGTCCCCAAAGCCCTCTTCTTACGGAAGGAACTATGTTTCACAAATTCCTATTTGGAATCTCTTACCTCCAATATGGCTGCAGATGGAGAGAGAGCCTGCTAGGAGGTAACTAGGGTTAAAGAGGTGATCAGGGCAGGATCCTGACACCACGGGATTACTGTCCTTATAAAGAGAGACACTATAGAGCTTTCTCCCTCCCCCACCCTCCCTGCGTGCCCTGAGGGATGGTCATGTGGGGACATGGCCAAAAGGTAACATCTGCAAATTAAAAAGAGAGTCCTCACCAGCAAGAAAACCTTTCTGGACTTTGAGCTTTGCCTTTCCAGGCTCCTAAACTGTTAGAAATAACATTTCTGTGGTTTAAGCCATCCAGTCACATCCATTTTGGTGTCACAATCCCTGCAAACACTCCACCCTACCTACCCTCTCTGAGTAGGATCAGTATCAGGAAGCCCTCGTGGACATGGGGCCCGCCTTTGCTCCTCTTCCTGCTGCTGTTCTGACTCTGATGAGGAGGGAGGACTGCGGCTTCATCCTCAGTTCGTTTGCATTAAGCAGAAAGATTTACTTGTTTTCAGCCTGTTTTGCTTTCTGATTGAAACTTAATCAAACTGAATGAACTACTTCTTTGGTATTAATATTTGGGAATGTTCATGTTTGTTTCCCACTTAGATGCCAGTGGCAACATCGTGTGGACCCTGTATCCAGCCCCTATCCCGGCGTCCCAAGTGAGAGGGTCACTTTCACCAGCAGGGCTGACCAGAGTATGAACAGCATCCTAGCTCAGTTCCAACGGAACCCAGGCCTGGCTCTGAGCTCCTGCTATCCCCTGGACACCATGCCTGCCCTGGTTAAGGGCCATGGGCTTGGACAGATGTCATTCTGACTATCAGCATCCAAGCTGCCTTCAGGGGCACATGCCCCCACCTCCCGTCATTACTGGTGCACAAACCTCGCCCCAGTTCCTGCTCTGCCTGGAGTGCTGCTGAAGATCTGGGGCCTTCTCAGTGGAGCAGAATGGGAGGCAGCTCTGAAATCTTAAACCCCCTTCTCCTCCCACTAGCTTCCCACCTTCCGTATGGGCACCTCCTGAGCATCTGATGAGCATCACAGAGTAGAGAATGTCAATGTGTTTTCTCCCACATCCTGCTCTGAATTTATGAGGCCAATTTATCCTCACCTCACACATGAGCTGCCCTTGTCTTCAGGGATGTGATCCTTGTTTCTCTCACATCCTGTCACAGTGTTGACAACCTAGTTTTGACTTCACTCCATGAATCCTTTTGGAAATATTATGGTCAACAAGTTGTCGTCCTTGAATAACACACAATAAAAATAACAAATATTCAGAAGGTTTTGCAAGGGGGAGAAATGTTTCATTGTGAACAGAGTTCCAGCAGCTGTGTGTGCCATAGAAGCTGGGCAGAGAGATCCCATATGGCTCCAGTTAGAGGGGAGGCTGCCAACGAGCCATGGAGGGCTTTTGTCTTGTGACCACACCTGTAAGCCTTTCTTATAAGCCACATGTAGCCTAATTCTATGAGCCACATGTGCTGCTCTGTCCTACAGGGACCCCCAGGGGACAAAATGCCCATGCTGAGCTCTGGGCACAAAACATCCTTCTACCAGGAGCCGAGGCCCACTCCCTGCCTCCTCGGCACCTGCTGCTTTGTGTTCCCCAGACCCTTAGCAATCTTAGCAATCCTCAGCAATCCTCAGCATCCTTAGCAATCTATGAGTCAGGGCTTGACCCAGAAAGGAAATGAAGTGAGTCCTGAGCCTCTGACCCTTGGGCTCTGTAGTGGGAAAGTGGCCATGGGGTGGGGCACTATTGCTGGATTTTCTTGTTCATGCTCAATTTACCAAAGTTTAAAACCATGCCTTATAACAACAATTCATATTATATTTATTTACATGAAAAGTGCATATTATATGTGTTATATATGTATAAGATATACACATATATTAATACAAATTACATCTGAAATAGCATAGAAATATATTTAATTTGTAAAGTGTGTTACAATTACATATATGCATATACAAATAACTTATGTTTATTTATTTAGCATGTGCTTCTTTTTCTTCTAACTATAACAGAGTCTGGCTGAGTAAAGACTCTGGAGACATTTGATGACCCTCCCTCTTTGGCACTAGTAGGGTCCTGGCCACTCAGGACCAGTGAGGACAGAACTGAGGAAAGTCGACCTAGGATCCCAGGCCCTGCGCTACGGCTTTGGTCTCTCAGACTTTTACCCTGGCTGAAGGGTTCCTGAAGGATTTGTTCCACATTGAACTGGGCTGACCAGCAAGAAGGAACTATGTGCATGCAGCCTATTTACACTGGGAAGGAAGAAGGAAAGTGTAGCAGGAAATAGAAGATGGGTGGCAAAAGTCTCCCCTAAAAGCCACCTAACTCTTAGGATGACTGAAGCTTCATCCCATGTGGAAACATGGGGACAATGCCTCTGGGCTATTCCATCTGAGGGGAGAGAGCTGGGGTATGTTATCATACTCCTGTTATCATCTACTGATAGTGTCTCTCTTAGTCTGTTGTGTCTTGGTATAACAGAATGCCTGAAATTGTAATTGATAAAGAGCAGACAATTATTCTCTCACACTTCTGGAGGATGGGAAGTCTAAGATCAAGGAACTGTCAGATTAGGAATCAGTTTATCTACTTTCAAGATGACACTATGACTCCCGAGTCCTCCAGAAGGAAGGAAGTCCATGTCCTAGCATGACTGAAGAGCAGAAAAGAGAGAGAGAGAAACCCTACTCCCACAAATGGGAAAGAGCAAGGACTCACTCTCAGGAGCCTGCAACCCCCACACCCCAAGCATGGAAAGAATAGAAAATCTTGACTCTCTTCAAAGGAAATTCCAAGCACCTACCTAGCCTTAAGACGTAAGTAAGTAACATGATAAGCAAGGAAGTAAAAACAGCCTAAAATGGCCAAATAAGCTAGACTCAGAAGATGGTGGGTTCCCCTATAGAAACTGAAGGTGACATTTTAGTATATGTCTCTGAGGTGTTTTTGAGGAAACAAGACCCCCTCCAAATGAATCTGCCAGCACACAGATCTCACAAAAGGGAGAACTGGGGACTGAGCTCTGACCATGGTACTTTGTTCTAAATATCTTACAGAGGGGTCTGGTAAAAGTCATATCCATAAACCTGAGCTAATTCGTCTCTTCTGCTGAACCCAAATGTTTAAACAAAGCTTTTCTTCCTTAGCCAATTGTAAATTAGAAGTCTTGTAATCCACCCTTGATCTGTAAGCCCCTGTTTCAAGATATCCTGCCCTTTTAGGCCAAAACCAATATGTGACCTCCATGTATTAATTTTCAATTTGACCTGTAACTTCTGCTTTCCTGAAATTTACTCCTGCCTTAAAAAACCCTTACCTGCAAGCCATCAGTGAGGCCAGGATTTGAATCTTAGCTGCCTGATTCTCTTTACCTGATGCCCTACAAAAAAACAAACAAACAAACAAACAAACCTTTACTTTCTCCTGCTGCAAACTCAGTGTGAATATCTGATCTGACTGAGCTGAGTGAGTGGACTCCAGTTCGGTTCCACAGCACAAGCTCTTTTTATAGTGGCATTTATCCACTCATGAGGGCAGAGCTCTCATGACTTCAACACTTCCCATTAGGCCCCACCTCCCAATTCTGTTGCTTTGAGATAAATTTAAAAACAGATGGGTTTTGAAGGACACAGTGAAACCATAACACTGCCCAAAGAGAGGGCCATTCGAGCCCCTGTGGTCTGCTATGCATGCAGGCAGAGCTGCCTTCTCCAGGTTCAGAAAGAGCAATGAGGGGCATAGATGGCCATTGGAAGTCAGCAGCAGTACAGCGAAAGGGAAAGGCATAGCCTGTAGACAGGGATTGCAATCTTGATATATTTTCTATTTAGTTTCCTTTCTAAAAACAGAATAATTTCATGCTAACAGAAGTGTTGTAAGTACAGCACAAAGTGCTTTCTTCCAATTAAGTGCATATTGTATTTTTTAAAAAATAATCTCCATCTCCATACACGAATAAAATACATTACTCCATCTAGTCCTCAGGAATATTTCGAATTTTGACAATTAACTCAAAAAAGTTCTTTGTAACCAAACAGTCTCCAGGAAGAAACACTTATTTACGGACAAATCTGTGATGCCCTGGTCCGACCTGGGACACTGGGGACATTGCTCCTATGCTGAGTTACTGAGAAGAGCCAGCCCTGCAGCTGTGCCCAGCCTGCCCTATCCCCTGCTGATTTGCATGTTCGCAGAGCACAGCCCCCTGCCCTGAAGACTTATTAATAGGCTGGTCGCACCCTGTGCAGGAGTCAGTCCCAACCAGGACACAGCATGGACATGAGGGTCCCTGCTCAGCTCCTGGGGCTCCTGCTGCTCTGGCTCTCAGGTAAGGAAGGATAACACTAGGAATTTTCTCAGCCAGTGTGCTCAGTACAGCCTGGCTCTTGATGGAAGCCTTCCTATAATATGACTAATAGTATGAATATTTGTGTTTATGTTTCTAATCGCAGGTGCCAGATGTGACATCCAGATGACCCAGTCTCCATCCTCCCTGTCTGCATCTGTAGGAGACAGAGTCACCATCACTTGCCAGGCGAGTCAGGACATTAGCAACTATTTAAATTGGTATCAGCAGAAACCAGGGAAAGCCCCTAAGCTCCTGATCTACGATGCATCCAATTTGGAAACAGGGGTCCCATCAAGGTTCAGTGGAAGTGGATCTGGGACAGATTTTACTTTCACCATCAGCAGCCTGCAGCCTGAAGATATTGCAACATATTACTGTCAACAGTATGATAATCTCCCTCCCACAGTGTAACAAGTCATAACATAAATCACCCAGGGGAGCAGATGCGTGAGGCTCAGCTGTCCCAGATGCCCCTTCTGGTGCCTTCGCCTGCTGAGAATGTTTCTCAAATTGCAGTCACACTTTGAAGTTCACTGGAGAGTTTTTGTAAAAGGGCCATGAAGGCCCACTTCATCGTAGCTGTCTTTCCTTGTCCTAATCCCCAGTATCATAGACAGGGCAATGCCTCTCCTGATTTCATTGAGAAGAAATGGTTACACCTGAGGGGTCTGAGTTGTAGCATCAGTTGGAATTCATGTAGCAATAGTGAGCCACTCTAGGTATTCCAAGTAGGATTTTTTTTAAATATAAGATGTGAGAATCTAAACTACAGCCTTTTAAAGGTTTGCAAGTATAGTAGTCAAAGACGCAAATACTAGAGAAGAGGAATTCTCTTCCGGAATCCAGAATGCATCTGATAGAGAAGGTACAACTGCCAATCATGTGGTCCTCAGACCTTTCTGAGAAGCCCATGGGTGGGGGTGCAGATGCTCTCAGCTGCCTAGAGGACTTCATCAGGTGCTTCTGCAGTCCTCACCTCGGTCCATATGTCTTGCTGCAGGTGTTGATGGATAGTATTGAATCCTCCTCTTCTTACTTCTCAATCTCAGGGCAGGCCCCACACTGGGCAACTCCACCAAAAACCAGAGAAGGCATAGGGTTTCTGGCAAATGTGCTTCCAGAATGATAGTGATGATGGGGAAGTGACAGCTGACATCGTAGTGTGGTCATGTATCTCGACTCTCAGGATTTTTTCAGTGAAGTGATGGCCTCAGAATACACTTGGATGTACTTCCATATACTATGAGTAAGTTTGAAATCATAGCATGAAAATGATATTTAGTCATATGATAAATAGAACTACATGGCTACATTAATCAAAATAGCATAGTGCTGGTACAAAAAGATACACAGACAAATGGAACAGAATAGGGAACTCAGAAATAATGCTGGAGACCTACAACCATCTGATCTTCAACAACCCTGACAAAAACAAGCAATGGGGAAAGTACTCCCTATTTAATAGATAATGCTGGGAGAACTGGCTAGCCATATGCCAAAAATTGAAACTGGACCCCTTCCTTATACCTTACACAAAAATGAACTCAAGATGGATTGAAGACTTAAGTGTAAAACCCCAAACTATAAAAACCCTAGAAGAAAATCTAGGCAATACCATTTAGGACATAGACACGGGCAGAGATTTCATGACAAGAATGCCCAAAGCATTGCAACAAAAGCAAAAATTGACAAATGTGATCTAATTAAACTAAAAAGCCTCTGCACAGCTGAAGAAACTATCATCAGAGTGAACAGACAACATTAAGAATGGGAGAAAAATTTTGCAATTTATTCATCTGACAAAGGTCTAATATCCGGAGTCTATAAGGAACTTAAACAAATTTACAAGAAAAAAAAACAACCCCATTAAAAGGTTGGCAAAGGACATGAACAGACACTTAAAAGAGGACATACATGAGGCCAATAATCATATGAAAAAAAGATCAACATTACTAATCATTGAAGAAATGCAAATCAGAAACACAATGAGATACTATCTCACACCAGTGAGAATGGCGATTATTAAAAAGTCAAAAAACAATAAGTTAGGCAACGTGACTCACACCTGTAATCCTAGCCCTTTGGGAAGCCGAGGTAAGTGGATCACTTGAGGTCAGGAGTTCAAGACTAGCCTGGCCAATATGGCGAAATCTCATCTCTACTAAAAATGCAAAAATTAGCTGGAGGTGGTGGTGGATGCCTGAAATCCCTGTTCCTTGAGGGGCTGAGGCACAAGAATCGCTTGAACCTGGAAGACAGAGGTTGCAGTGAGCTGAGATCATGCCACTGCACTCAAGCCTGGGTGACAGAATGATATTCCTTCTCAGATTAAAAAAAAAATCAAAAAACGACAGATGCTGCGGAGGTTGTGGAGAAATAGGAAAACTTCTACACTGTTAATGAGAATGTAAATTACTTCAACCATTCTGGAAGACAGTGTGGTGATTCTTCAAAGATTTAGAACTGGAAATACCATTTGATTCAGCAGTCCCATTACTGGATATATACCCAAAGGAATATAAATCATTCTACTATAAAGATACATGCATGAGTATGTTCATTGCAGCACTATTTACAATAGCAAAGACATGGAATCAACTCAAATGCCCATCAATGATAGAACAGATAAAGAAAATATGGTACATATGCACCACGGAATACTATGCAGCCATAAAAAGGAATGAGATCATGCCCTTTTCAGGGACATGGATGGAGCTGGAAGCCATTATCCTCAGTAAACTAAGGCAGGAACAGAAAACCAAACACTGCATGTTCTCACATATAAGTGGGAGCCTAACAATGAGAGTACATGGACACGGGAGGAAACGACACACTGAGGTCTGTGGTGGAGGGAGAAGGAGGAAGAGAGGGAGCGTATTAGGAAGAATAGCTAATGGATGCTGGGCTTAATACTGAAGTGATGGGATGATCTGTGCAGTGAACCACCACAGCACACGTCTACCTATGTAACAAACCTGCACATGTGCCCTGGACCTTAAAGTAAAAGTTGAGGAAGAAAAACCATTACATATATATATAAACATTATATATATACACATTATATATATAAACATTATATATATACACTTATATATATAAACATTATATATACACATTATATATATAAACATTATATATACACATTATATATATAAACATTATATATATACATTATATATATAAACATTATATATATACATTATATATATAAACATTATATATATACATTATATATAAACATTATATATATACATTATATATATAAACATTATATATATATATGTGTATGGTTGACTCATATATATATATATATATATATATGTATATGGTTGACTCATATATATATATATATGTATATGTATATGACTTAGCCATAAAAATAAATTTAATAATATCTTTCCCGGCAACTTGCATGGAGGTGGAGGCCGTTATTCAAAGTGAAGTAACTCAGGAATGGAAAACCAAATACCTTATGTCCACACTTATAAGTGAGAGCTAAGCTACAAGTACACAGAGGCATACAGAGTGATCTAATGAACATTGGAGACAGAAGTGGAGAGGGTGGGGGGGGTGAGGAATAAAAAGCTGCATATTAAAAAAAAAAATAGAAATTGCACTAAATAATATAGCAATCATTGGACCAAAAAAAACCTTTGTTGAATACCTGTATGTGTATGTGTGTGTGTATATATACATACACATATATATATAATCTGATTACCTATATATATGCATACAAACACAGACACACACCTATATATACACAAACACCCACACATAAATATTTTATATATAATATATAATATATATACTATATTATATGTTATATATACTATTATAATATATATAATATATATATTATATATTATATATACTATTATTATATATGATACTATTATATATTAATATAATTATATATAATATATATATTATATAATATACTATTATATATTATATATAATAGTATATTATATAATATATATATTATATATAATAGTATTATATATATAATATATATAATACTATTATATATAATATATATAATAGTATTATATATATATAATATATAATACTATTATATATATTATATATAATACTATTATATATATTATATATATTATATATATATAATATTAATATAATATAATATATAATAATATATAATATTAATATTATATATATAATATAATATAATATAATATATAATATAATATAATATATATATTAATAAAATTATATACATATATAATATATAATAGTATATTATATACATATATAATATATACAATATATAATATCATAATATATAATATGTATTATATATATAAAATATGTGTGTGTGTGTCTGTGTGTGTATGCATATATATAGGTAATCAGAACAGGATTTTATAGTATAATATAGATTTATTGAAAATCATTAAGTTCACATTCCATAAATAACATGTGTTCATACATATATATGTGTACATTTGCTTATATGTTTGTATATATATATGTGTGTGTGTGTGTATACACACAGATGTAACATTCTTATTATTTTTTTAATATAAAAACCTTGCTACTCAAAATTTGTCCAGAACCCAGTAGCAACACTAAGAGCATGTTACCAATTCAAAACAGCAAAACCACCTTAGATCAATTGAATGGGAATCTGTATTTTCATAAGATAACAGATGATCCATTGAAGGTTTAAGAAGCTATGTTTTAGGGAATGTTTACTTCAGCTAAGAAATTTTTGTTGTTTTTATCCAACATGTCAATTTAAGAAAATCTGATTAAAGTCACATGTTGAAAACACATCCAATTTTTTTTACTCAATTTGATTTAACTTTAATTAATTTAAGAATAAATTTGCTTTTTTAATGCTGAAGGTTGAAATACTTAATTATTTGTCAGTGACATGATCACATAACTTGAAACTTAATTGGAGAAAAGGTTTTAGAACCTTGAGTAATTGCTAAAGCAAAAGAAGAAACCCACATATTGTATACGTGTGTTGCAGCTGATGGGACTTAAATTTGCTTGTGTAGCTTGACCTCAGGATGTTGTTAACTGCCCTGGCTGATCACTGCTCCTTCAGTCTTGACCCCAATTAAAAAAAAATCCATATATTAGAGATAAGCTCAGCAACCTACAGCACAACCACGCAGCTGAGCCCTGTCTAGATCAGCTAAATTATTGTTAATATGAACATCCGTAAACATGAAAATAAATACTAGTATTGTAAGCCTCTGCATTTTGAGTGGTTTGTTACAAACTATTATTGTTGAAAAGCTAATACATTATTAAACATCCACATATATAGATGCATTTAATGAAAATTGACTGCATAAATATGAATACTTAGAAAATCATAAAGAAACAAAAACATAGAAGAAATAATACTTAAATCAGAAGAAATAAAATACAACTTAGCTCATTTATGGAAACATCTAACAGGAATAGTTAGTATTGAGGATACACATATGTAGCAATACTCAACAGAATAATCAAAATGGAACTTTACATATACACTACAGATTGTTGAAAATCATTAGGTTGACATTCCAGGAATAAAACATATGTTTATACATATATGTGTGCATATGTGCATTTATCTTTTTATATATGATATATGCATTTGCATATATATTTAGACATTGCTTTCTGCATAAACTTATATAAACAGTTATGTTTTAACAAAGTTGTATGACCACATATGTGTGTATATACTCACATACACACAAGCTACAAGCACATATACAAAATTATCACAGTGCCAAGGAAATGTATTTTGGCCCTTCTAGACCCTAGGTTACAGACAGTACTCAGAGGATGGAAGAATTTTAATAAAACAGATATCAAAACATCATGTGAGGCATGCATACATTTTGTTGAAAAATTTTCTTTTTACAGTCACCATTTTCTTTAAAGTTTTATAAAGTGTTGTTGTCTGGTCTCCTTTGTAATTTAGACCTTAGGTTAAATTTGTGACCCATGAGGAATGCTGGATTCTGGACTGAAGGTTTTTGGATTTTGCCATTCATTTTATTTTATGTTCCAGGATACATGTGCAGGATGTGCAGGTTTGTTACATTGGTAAACAGGTGCTATGGTGATTTGCTGCACCTATCAACCCATCACCTAGGTATTAAGCCCAGCATCCATTAGCTATTTTTCCTGGTGCTCTTCTCCTACCCACCCTCCCCTGAAAGGCCCCAGTGTGTGTCATTCCCCTCCTTGTGTCCATGTGTGCTCACTGTTCAGCTCCACCTCTAAGTGAGAACATCTGGTGTCTGGTTTCCTGTTCCTGTGTTAGTTTTCTGAGGATAGTGGTTTCTAGTTTCAACCACGTCCCTGCAAAGGACATGATCTCATTCCTTTTTATGGCTGCATAGTATTCCATGGTGTATATATAAAACATTTTATTTATCCATTCTATCATTGATGGGCATTTGGGTTGATTCCATGTCTTTGCTATTGTGAATCGTGCTGCAATGAACATACACATGCATGTATCTTTATAGTAGAATGATTTATATTCCTTTGGGTATATACCCAGTAATGTGACTGCTGAGTCAAATGGTATTTCCAGTTCTAAATCTTTGAGTAATCGCCACACTGTCTTCCAGAATGGTTGAACTAATTTACATTCCCACCAACAGTTTAGAAGTGTTTCTATTTCCCTGCAACCTCGACAGCATCTGTTGTTTCTTGATTTTTTAATAATCACCATTCTGACTGGAGTGATATGGTGTCTCATTGTGATTTTGGTTTGCATTTCACTGATGATCATTGATGTTGAGCTTTTTTCATGTTTCTTGGCCGCATGTATGTCTTCTTTTGAGAAGCGCCTGTTCATGTCCTTTGTCCACCTTTTAATTTTTTTTATTTTTATTTTTGTAAATTTGTTTAAATTTCTTGTAAATTCTGGATATTATAACTTTGTCAGATGAATAAATTGCAAAAATTTTCTCCCATTCTGTAGGTTGTCTGTTCACTATGATGATAGTTTCTTTTGCTGTTCAGAGGCTCTTTAGTTTAATTAGATCTCATTTGCCAATTTTTGCTTTGTTGCAAATGCTGTAGGCATTTTTGTCATAAAATCTCTTCCTGTGTCTATGTCCTAAATAGTATTGCCTAGATTTTTGTAGTTTGGTGTTTTTTTTTTTTTTTAATTATACTTTAAGTAGTTTGGGTTTTAATAGTTTGGGGTTTTATATTAAGTCTTTAATCCATCTTGCCTTCATTTTTGTATAAGGCATAAGGAAGGGGTCCAGTTTCAATTTTCTGCATATGGCTAGCCAATTCTCCCTGCACCATTTATTAAATAGGGAGTACTTCCCTCATTGCTTGTGTTTTTGTTTTTGTTTTTGTTTTTGTTCTTTTTATCAGGTTTGTTGAAGATCAGATGGCTGTAGATGTGTGGTTTTATTTCTGAATTCTCTATTCTGTTCCGTTGGTCTATGTGTCTGTTTTTGTACTGGTAGCATGTTGTTTTGCTTAGTGTATCCTTGTAGCATAGTTTGAAGTTGAGTAGTATGATGCCTCCAGTTTTGTTCTTTTTGCTTAGGCTTGTCCTGGCTACACAACCTTTGTTGGTTCTATATGAATTTTAATTTTTTTTTTTTTTTTTTGACGGAGTCTCGCCTTGTCACCCAGGCTGGAGTGCAGTGGTGCCATCTCGGCCCACTGCAAGCTCCGCCTCCTGGGTTCACGCCATTCTCCTGTCTCAGCCTCCCGGGTAGCTGGAAATATAGGTGCCTGCCACCACTCCTGGCTCATTTTTTGTATTTTTAGTAGAGATGGGCTTTCACCGTGTTAGCCAGGATGGTCTCGATCTCCTGATCTCGTGATCCGCCCGCCTTGGCCTCCCAAAGTGCTGGGACTACAGACGTGAGCCACCACGCCCGGCCAAATTGTTTCTTCTAATTCTGTGATGAATGTCATGGTAGTTTATTGGGAATAGGATTGAATCTATAAATTGCTTTGGGGAGTGTGGCCATTTTTGCGATATTGATTCTTCCTATCCACCAGCATGGAATGTTTTTCTATCTGTTTGTGTCCTCTCTGATTTTCTTGAACAGTGGTTTGTAATTCTCCTTGAAGAGGTCTTCCACTTTCCTCGTTAGCTGTTATCCTAGGTATTTTATTCTCTTTGTTGCAATTGTGAATAGGAGTTCATTCTTAATTTGGCTATTTGTCTGTTGTTGGTGTGTAGATGCTTGTCAATTGTGCACATTGATTTTGTATTCAGAGGCTTTGCTGAAGTTACTTATCAGCTTAAGAAGCTTTTGGGCTGAGTCAATGGCATTTTCTAGATACAGAATCATGTCATCTGCAAACAAAGATAATTTGAATTTCTCTCTTCCTATTCGAATACCCTTTATTTCTTTCTCTTCCCTGATTGCCCTGGTCAGAACTTCCAATACTATGTTGAATAAGAGTGGTGACAGAGGGGTATCCTTGTCTTGTAATGGTTTTCAAGGGGAATGCTTCCAGCTTTTGTCCATTCAGTATGATATTGACTGTGGGTTTGTCATAAATGGCTCTTATTATTTTGAAGTATATTTCTTCAATACGTAGTTTATTGAAATGAAGTGATGTTGAATTTTATCGAAGACCTTTTCTCCATCTACTGAGATAATCATGTGGGTTTTGTCTCTAGTTCCCTTTATGTGATGAATTATGTGTATATTGAACCAGCCTTGCATCCGGGGATGAAGCCAACTTCATCGTGGTGGATAAACTTTTTGATGTGTGGCTGGATATGGTTTGCCAGTATTTTATTGAGGATTTTTGCATCAATGTTCATTAGGGATATTGGCCTGAAGGTTTTCTCCTTTTTTTTTTTTTTTTAATCTCTGCCAGGTTTTGGTATCAAGATGATTCTGGCCTCTTAAAATAAGTTAGACAGGAGTCTCTCCTTTTCAAGTGTTTGGAATTGTTTCAGAAGGAGTGGTACCAGCTCCTCTTTGTACCTCTGGTAGAATTGAACTGTAAATCCATCTGGTCCTGGGCTTTTTTTAGTTGATAGGCTTTTTATTACTGCCTCGATTTCAGAACTTGTTATTGGTCTATTCAGGGATTCAACTTCTTCCTGGTTCAGTCTTGGGTGTCCCCATTCTTTAGGTAGAAGTGATCCTGATGTTACTTGTAAAGACAACGTTTGCAATATGTTAGGTGTTAATACATTGCTTTTAATGTGTGAAAAAGGAATTCAAGTGTGGGAAAGTGTGTATTGGTGATGTCAAGCCACAAGGGTGGATGGAGATAGAAAAAGATATGTAGTCATGAAAAACGATGAATGTGAACGGGACTGAATTTAGGGATATTATCAACACAGGGAGAGCTGCAGGATAGGAGTCAGATCTCTGGTAGCTGCTGGCAGGGATGCTGTCCTTCTGTGGGCCGTAGTGAGAGGAACAGCTGTCTTCTCTGCAGGAGGCAGTCTGAATATGGGGTCTCAGGCAGTAAGGACTCCTCCGCAGCCTGAATCGGCAGTACAGTTTGTGAGATTGTTCCAGAGGTTTTGCCTGGAGCCTGTTGTTAAGGCTTTCCAACAATTTTTGAGCTATTTAATATCCCATAATGAATCCCTTTATGCTTAGTGCAGTTCACATTTGTAACCAATACTAATGACCACTCCACATTGAGGGCATGGTTGCCCCCTTTTTTCCTGCTAAATTTAATGCTTTCCAGGTGAATCTACTAGAGAAGGCCAACATGAATAACCTTCATGTCATCAAAAGTGCATGACAAATAAGCTCAGGGGAGCCACCGGGTTCTCAGTCATCTGCAGTGTCTCATGACATGAAAAGAGGAGACTGAGGAATCTTCCTGTAATCCTTCAGCCAGTCTTTCTGCAGCCTTAGGTAGGGTCTCCACGTGCATGTACTCATCAGTGCTCTGTGGAATACTGAGGGAGGCATCTGGGGATAGCCTGGGCTCTCTCTGAACTCCCTCCTCTGTTTCTCTGTCTTTCTGGACCTCCAATTCTTTTTCCTCTCTTCAGGGACACTCCCAGGCACCTCATGGATTTCCTTTCACTACACAATGCTCTGGCAACTCTCCTCAGGGTCTCAGATGGATCGTTCCAAATTTCATCTCCTTTGGTTTAAAATCTTCTGGGCTCAATATCCTTAATTTCTAATGTCCAATTTCTTGAAAACATTTGCCTCATGTATTGTGTCCTGTGTTTTAGTTAATCCAGAGAGGAGTGTAAACCTAGTCCATTCTAATCTCTTTTGGCTACAGGTTGAATATCTGGAAGCCTACGTCTGAATTTAAATATTTTTCGCTCCTCAAGGTTCTTCACCAGCACCTGGTAGTGTGAGGATAGCAGGTCGTGCTTTAGGGTTGCAATTGGGACTTTACTGCCATTACCCCATCTCTTGCTTTTTCCACACCACACAAGTTCTCCTGAACACATATACAGACACTTCACACACATTCACATGCCATCCCGCCTCCCAGCAGCAGAAACCTGGCCTCACTTTGTGTCTGAGCGGGGAACGCCTACTGCGTAGCTACTCTCAGAGGAACGAGCCCAGAGAAGGGGCCAAGTCCCTGGAAGTTAGGGTTAGAACATTTGAATTGGTAGTTTCAGGACCCCAAGTATCAGGGTGTGATGTAGAAGAAAATTGGCTCTATATTAGCACAGTCTCAGTCTCTCTCTGTGAAAGACTGGAGGGGAGGAGAGCCTGGTGAGGGCCCTTCACTTCTGGGGCCCAGAGCAAGAGGTCCCTCATGTTGAGTGTGCATGTAGCTTTGATTGATGCATTATTACTGAGACACTCAATAGCTCCATTGAAATACAAGATTGGAGACCTCCAACCAAGATGCTCTGTCAGTGTTGACAGGGCTCCTTTATGATCCAGCAGGCTGTTGAGGGCTCCCTGGCCTTGATGAGTTCGCAGCAGAGCTAGCTTTGTCTCCAGCCTCATCCTCCCTTCCTCTGTGTCTTCCGTGAAACTCGGAGCAATTCCCCAGGTGATGTGATCTTGTCTTCATCCTACTTTGAAGAGAATTGATCCTGAGTGGTTCTGGGGTATTTAAGGTTGTACATTTATCCTAATTCAGGCTTCAGTTTCACAGCTATCCTATTTGGTTGATGAAAGAAACTGTATTTGATTTGATTTTTGTTTTTTTGATAATCAGGTTTGGCATCCTCAGTCAGAACTTTCATGCTGATGAGCTGAGAGAAATAAAGTTACATGGGTCTAGGCACAGTGGCTCACACCTATAATGCCAGCATTTGAAAGGCTGAGACTGGAGGATTACTTGAGCCCAGGAATTTGAGACTAACCTAGGCAACATAGTGAGACCCCATCTCCACAAGAAATGAAAAAATTAGCCAGATGCCGTGGCACACGCCTGTGGTTCTAGCTACTGGGGAGGCTGAGACAAGAGGATTGTTTAAGCCCAAGGGGTTGAGGTTGGAGTAAGCTGTGATCTTGCCACTGCACTCCAGTGTAGGGGACAGAGCAGGACCCAGTCTCAAACAAAACAAAACAAACAAGTTACATTTGTCGTGAGGGGTAGACTATGTAGGTCCCCAAACCAAGAATAGGATGCCCATTTAGTTGATGGATACTAAAGAGACCTGTGTCTTCAGATAATAATTTGTCTGTGAACTACACACCTTTGAGAAAGCACAGTGTTATCTTTGTGCGTCTACAGTAAATTTCCATGTCTTATGGTTGTAACAGGTGTGGCTCAGTGCCATCACAAAATACCTTAGAATAGCTTGGGTATGCTCTTAAGAGCTGCCATTTTTATTTTTAAAATATTGAAACAATTTCACATTTACAGAAAGTTTGTAAGTAGAGTACAAAGTAACACATTTCCCCCTAAACCATTGAGAGTAACTTGATGACCTCATAGTTCCACCCTTTAAGACTTTGCTATGTATTTCCTTCAGACAAGACATTTTCCTACATAACCCAATACATCTGTGGAACCAGGGAATCATCACTGGTGCATCACTCCATCTAATCCTCAAGTGTATTTCAACTTTTGTTAATTGTTCCAATAATGTCTTTTGTAACAAAATGATTCACGGGTTGCCTTTGCTGGCCTGTACCTCCGTAGTTTTCTTCCATCTAGAACAGTTCCAGTGTCCTTGTTTGGACTTTATGAATTTGTTTGAATTTTCTTCAGGATTGAACTCTGTTAGTGTAACTGTTGCGGGAATATCCAGAAGCGATACTGTGCTCTCACTGAATCCTATTGGGATGTGTGTGATTTCCATCTGCCACATGACTGACGAGGTTCAATCTGACTCCTGCTGAAGGGGGTGTCTGCCAGGCTTCTCCCTGCACCTTCACTGTTGTTCTGTTTGAAAGAGATAAGAATTTGTGGAGATGTTCTTGATACTTCATGAATATCCCTCTCCTAATCGAAATATAGACATGGATCCATATTTTCTTCAATGGGTTATACTCTGCTACCATCATCATTTATTTTCATAGTCAACCCTCCTCTGATTTGTCCAATGGGAGCCTCATTCACACTGCCTCTGAATACCTGCTGTTTTTATCCCATCATTCTCTGAGCACTTTTTTAGTTTCTGGCACTAGATGGTACAAGCTCATCTTCCATCTCCCCTATTTTAGACCTGACATCAGCCATTTCTCCAAAGATTACTGATTCCTTTTAGTAGAAATCGGCATTCAGAAAAATAAGATCTACACACTAAATGTGTTCAGTGGGACTGATGTGTCATCGCTTCTAGAGAAAATGAGCTATCTATTATCTATCATTTGTCTATCTATCATCATCATCTATTCATCTATCTTTTTACCTATATCTACATAAACCATGAATTGGCACTGATATAGCTATAATCCAGAGTCATAGAGTTTATTCTAGTACGCGCTTTTAAAATATTTCTAACATTTCTCCCTGGGTACCTTGGCTCTAATTATCCTTACTACACTGACTTATGGGATCAACATCTCTTTGTGACACTAGTCTCCTGCTGTCATTGCCACCTACACGCTCCTTGTAGACAACTTCCCTCTTCTGCCTCACAACCTGCATTAGCCCTGATATGCTTTGCCAGCTCACTGTTAACTTTGACTCCTGCATGGGTGACCTTCTCAATCTACATGGGCCGTTATGCTAGTACCACTGGCTTTACCCCTTTTGAAGGGCCCTGCTCATCCTGCTTCAGCTGTGACATATGTGCTAGTGGGAGGATGTCGCCCCACATCCTGCGCCTATGTGGGGATACCCTCCTCCCTCCACTATAGCTTCAACACCTCTGGTGGTCTTCCCTCTCTACTGCACATCAACTGCCCTTTCCATGCCATGTGGGTTTCACACT
This sequence comes from Homo sapiens, assembly GCF_000001405.40. Classification (NCBI taxonomy): domain Eukaryota; kingdom Metazoa; phylum Chordata; class Mammalia; order Primates; family Hominidae; genus Homo; species Homo sapiens. The sequence continues at coordinate 363,916 of NW_012132915.1, read as the reverse complement.
CTGTGCAATATTTTGGTTTCCCCTTCATTTTGGTGCATGGTTTTCTTTCTGAACCTACTTTGGTCAAATGCCCTAAACCCAGTCATTAAGAACTGCTTTCTCTTAAAAACTGGAAGAGATTGGTAATATAGAGATATACAGTTTATGGAACAGAGTAGATTCAAGAGTAGATGTGAGCACTGGGTCTAGATAACATCTCAGTTTCCGGAAGATATTAGCTTAAGAATGACGTAAGGCACACATATTAATCCAAGGAGCTCAGGAAACATCTAGCATAGGAATGCATGATGGCACACAGAGGTAGAGAGTAGCTGACACTTTTCAGAAGTGGAGGGAGAAGATTTCTGATGTTGGCCTAGATGAAAGAAGTAGGAAAGAAAATGTAGAAATACAGGAAGATGATCACATGTCTGAGATAAGAGATTTGCCATGTCGTTTACCCAGTGTACAAGGATTACCCAATCCTTGCAAAGCATTACACTACTTTCACATATTTTGTGTTAACATTTTCCTTTTTCTTATTTTTAATAAATAAATCTGTCCTTCTATCCATCCATCTATGTATCCATCCATCTTTCTTATACCTCATCATTGCATCTCTGGCTGATAGTGCTGATGATTTACAACATCAAGGGCTCTAGAGGATCAGAGCAAAGAAGAAGTCTCTCTGGCCTCAATAATATTCATCAGTACCAAACGCGGGACACTTCTAAAATTTATTGCAGATTCTGGAGATGTGCTTCTCCAACAAGCCAGGTCTTAGACGGGAAGCTAGCAAGAAAAGTAGGTCATGACCTACTTCTGCAGAGCAGAAAAGCAATCTCCTTGCAGGACAGTAGACAGATTCTGTTCTGTGGCCCCCAGAGAGAAACTTGTTCTCTGCTAACAAGTGTATGCAGGCCTGATCAATCTTAGGACCCCTGGGGGACACTAGGCCTGTGCAATATTATGCAGGTAAAGTCATTCTTGCATCTGTTGAAATTTTCATTTTCAAAAAAACACAGCCAACTTCCTGAAGACTTGTACACAGGCTGGTCATACCACTTGCAAGAGTCAGTCCCAGTCAAGACACAGCATGGACATGAGGGTCCCTGCTCAGCTCCTGGGGCTCCTGCTGCTCTGGCTCTCAGGCAAGGAAGGAGAACACTAGGAATTTACTGAGCCAGTGTGGTCAGTACTACCTGGCTATTCAGGAAAGTCCTCTCATAACATGGTTAATAGTGTTAATAGTTTTGTTTCCCATCTCAGGTGCCAGATATGACATGCAGATGACCCAGTCTCCATCCTCGCTGTCTTCCTGTCTAGGTGAGAGTCACCATCACATGCCAGGAAAGTCAGGCAGGGCATTAGCCATGTTTTAGCCTGATACAAAGAGAAGCCAGGGAAAGCTTCTGAGCTCCTGATCTACGATGCATCCAATTTGCAAACCTGGGTCCCATTGCAGTTATGTGGCATTGGATCCAGGACAGATTTGATTCTCACCATTAGCATCCTCCAGTCTGAAGTTGCTGCAACTTCTTATTATTGGTCAACAGTATAAAAGTGACCCTCTCACAGTGTTACAAACCCAATAAGCTCCCCAAGGAAGCAGATATGTGAGGGTGGGCTGCCCCAGCTGCTTCTCCTGTTTCCTCCATCTGCTGAGAGTGTTTCTCAGACTCAGCCACACTCTGAAGGTCACTGAGCAGTTTTCATAGAAGGGGTAAGGGAAGTGTCTCTACACCCTTAGTTTCTTTTATCCTCCTCAGCCCCAGCAGCAGACATGGCAATGCCTCTCCTAATTTCATAGAAGAGTCATTACCTATGAGGACTCTGGGTTACAGCACTGGTCCAGGTTCATACAACAAAAGAGAAGCTATTGTAGGTAACCCAAATAGAAAGTTTTTCCTAATATGGGAAATCCATGTCTAAATTACAACTTTTCAAAGACCAGAGGATATAATGGTTAGGAAACCAGAAAGGCAAAAGGAGTGCTGGGAAATCTACTTCAAGAAGCAATGGTGGCCGCGCACAGTGGTTCAGGCCTGTAATCCCAGCACTTTGGGAGGCCGAGGCAGGCGGATCACCTGAGATCAGGAGTTCAAGACCAGCCTGGCCAACATGGCGAAACCCCGTCTCTACTAAAAATACAAAAATTAGCCGGGCATAGTGGTGGGTGCCTGTAATCCTAGCTACTCAGAAGGCTGAGGCAGGAGAATCATTTGAACCAGGCAGGTGGTCTCTGCAGTTTCGAAGCCCAGCGCCATCTGTGGCTGTTATGCATGTCTCTCCCAGCCACCCTGCTGTCCAGAGCCCATATCAATCCGTGGGGGTAGGTCTGTGAAAGAGCAGCTCAGTTAGGACCCAGAGGGAACCATGGAAGCTGCAGCTCAGCTGCTTTGATTCTTGTTACTCTGGCTCCCAGGTGCAGGAAACACCGGATGGTTCTGCATGTCAGTGAAACTTTCTCAACCTTGTTGAGTCCTGTTACCTGGCACACCTGCTGGGAAGGCACAATGATTAAAGCTCAATGTAGATCAATGGTCCTGGATGCACTGGGAAGACAATAGGTATGATGTAGTGTACGTGTGTGACATTTCTGTTTTTATTCCAATTTCAGATACCACCAGAGAACTTGTGATGACAGTCTCCAGCCTCCCTGTCTTTATCTCTAGGGGAAAAAGCCACCCTCACCTACAGAGCCAAGTAGACTATTAGCAGCTCCTTAGCAGGGTATCAGTGGAAACCTGGACAGGCTCTCAGGCTCCTCATCCATGGTGCATCCACCAGGACCACCAATGTCCCAGCCTGGTGGAGTGGCAGTGGGTTCGGGGAAAACTTCAGTCTCATTATCAGCAGGCTGGAGCATGAAGATTTTGCACTTTAACACTGTTATCAGCATAGTGGTGGGTATTCCACAGTGATTCCACAGGAAACCAAACCTCCACAAGACAGCTGGTGTTTTTTCCTCAAGCCTTCTGTTTACTTATGGGAAGCTACTATGGTGGCTGCTTAGTTATTGAGAGAAAACAATGGAGACTTCAATAAATAGAAGTTTATACCACATTCATGCATTATAAAACTTAATATTGTGAGTAACATAATTCTCCCTTAATTAATTCAATACAGTGACAATTAAAATCCCAGAGGACTTTTGTGAAATTGAAATGATGTTTCATATATATATAGTATATATATATATATATATATATATGTACTCACATACCACGCACTATATATATATATATATACACACACACTATATATGGTGTATGTATATATATAGTGATATGTATGTGTATAATATATATATAGAGAGTGTGTGTGTATATATATAGATACATACATATCACACATGCATTTAAAAAGGACAAAAATAGCCATTGGAATCTTGCATAAGAATAACAGGTCGGGCTGGGCGTGGTGGATCACTCCTGTAATCCCAGCAATTTGGGAGGCTGAGGTGGGCAGGTCACCTGAGGTCAGGAGGTTGAGACTAGCCTGACCAATATGGAGAAACCCCATCTCTACTAAAAATACAAAATTAGTCAGGTGTGGTGGCACATGCCTGTAATCCCAGCTACTCAGGAGGCTGAGGCAGGAGAATCATTTGAACCCGGGTGGTGGAGGTTGCAGTGAGCTGAGATCGCACCATTGCACTCCAGCCTGGGGAACAGAGCCAGAATCTATCTCAAAAAAACAAAAACAAAAAACAACAACAAAACAAAACAAAAAAAGAATAACAGGGCAGGCATGGTGTCTCACGCCTATAATCCCAGTACTTTGAGAGGCTGAGGCAAGTGTATCGCTTGAGGTCAGGAGTTAGACCACCCTGGCCAACATGGTGAAACCTTGACTCTACTAAAAAAATACAAAAAATTAGCCAGGCATGGTTGCACATTCCTGTAGTCCCAGCTGCTTAGGAGGCTGAGACAGGAGAATCGCTTGAACCCAGGGGGCAGAGGTTGCAAATGAGCCAAGATCATAGCACTGAACTCCAGTCTGGGTGACAGAGCAAGACTGTCTCAAAAAAAAAAAAAAAAAAAAGAACAAAATTGAAGGAATAACACCAGGCAATATCAAACCCTGTTACAAATAACACTAATTAATAATGTAACTACAGATCCGCACATATGTAATCACCCAATTTATGATAAAAGTGTTACCACGGGCCAGGCACAGTGACTCATGCCTGTAATCCCAGCACTTTGGGAGGCTGAGGTGGGCAGATAACGAGGTCAGGAGTTCGAGACCAGTCTGACCAGCGTGGTGAAACCCCATCTCTACTAAAAGCACAAAAATTAGCCAGGCATGGTGGCACATGCCTGTAATCCCAGCTACTCAGGAGGCTGAGGCAGAAGAATCACTTGAACCTGGGAGGCAGAGATTGCAGTGAGCCAAGATCGCACCACTGCACTCTAGCCTGGGTGACAGAGACTCCGTCTCAAAAAAAAAAAAAAAAAAAAGAAAAAAACACTGTTACCATAGATGATGCATACTGAAAGAGAAAAATATCTTGGTCAGGTAATTTAAAACAAGAGACATGTACTTTCTCACAGTTCTGAAGGCTGGGAAGTCCAAGGTCAAGGCACTGGCAATCTTTTTGTACCATGAGGGCTGCTCCAGCTTCCAAGATGGTGGCTTGTGGCTGTGTCCTCACGTTGTGGAGGTGGAAGGGCAAAAGAGACAAATTCTGTGTGAAGCCACTTTTATTGGGCGTTCATCCCATTCACCGGGGTGGAATCCTCATGAATAATCAGCTCCCAAAGGCCCCACTTTGTAATCCTGTTGCATGGGGTAAACAGGAATCTTGGATGAGATGCAGACATTCAGACCAGAGCAGTGATCAGTAGAAAAATATATAATAAGTGAACTGTATTGGATCAATAAGATATCTATATTACATCAAAATGAATCCTGACCTCTATATTTCACCTCTATATTATATAAATATCAACTCTAAATGAATCATAAAATGAAATATGAAGGCAAAATAATAAAGCTTTTAGTAAAGAGCATAAAAACATATATCATAAACAGGTGCAGAAATAAATTTCTTAAAGAGAACACACAAAGCACTAGGCACAAAGACAAAGATTCATGAATTAGGTTTTATTTGTATGAATTCCTTCTTATAGGGTTTTAAACAAATAAATTAAAAATATTATTTGATGAATACATATAGAAGAAATTAACAGAGAGGAAAGTCAAATTATAAAGAATATGAGATTCAGAATTCTGATTAACTGTGGGGGGAGATAGGCATATGGCATCGTGGAAACCCCACCCAGAGATCACACTTTTAGAGGAACCTGTAGAATGGTAGGCCTTGTGACAGCCATCTTGAAGGATATAACTGGCATCAGTCAACCCTGTGGCCCAAACAATTCATATCCCTCTTACATGTTAAATGCTCTAATTCTCACCCCATCAAGTCTAAGTATTATTCCATAATAGTGTCAGGGCAAAATTCAAAATATCATCACCAAAATGATGTCCTGGGGACTGATGTTAGCAAGATAGCAGAGTAAGAGATACCAGGCTTCAGCCCTCACAAAACCCAGCAATTAGTCAGTTATCCAAGAAGGCCAATACCCTGGGAGGGCTGAAGAGTTCAATTACAAACATGCAGCAACATGATAGAGTAAAAAGCCAAGAATAAGCACACGCAAAGGATGGCTGGAAGCTGATGGCACACCTGAGAGCCCTGATACCTCTAGGAACAAAGAAAGGGGAAGCAATTGTTATCAGCCAACGGTGGTGCCACTGTGGGCCCCATAGCCTGCTCTGTGGCAGGACCCTGCAGCCTTTGCTGCTGATAACCTCAGCAGCCACCCAGGCAATCCCCCACCATTCAGCTTTCCCAGTGGAGGCCCTTTAATATTTCTTGTCGAGGATCACAGCAGCCTGCTCCACAGGGGCCACTGGTGCTTTTGCCTGGACAGTTACCTGCAGCCATAGTCGCACACTCCCCAGAGAGGGAGATGCTGCTATACGCACTCCGCAGTGAGGAGCCATTGTTTTCTCTCCTGTGACAGGGCTACCTCCCAGCCCCTTGGCATCAACCTTACCCTCTGCACTGCCCCAGACCCAGGCCTCCGGGTCTCACCCTGCCCTGGCAACTCAGACAGTAAGCCACCTTTATGTGGACTAGCCCATGCCCAGCCCCAGACCCACCATCACTGCAAGTGCACCCTCGCTCCAGACCTCGTCACTGTGGCTGCTCTGGAAATTGCCAAAGACATCAAAGAAATTGAGACATGTTTATAGGCATACCTCAGAGATATTGCTGGTCTAGTTTCCAATCACTGCAATAAAATGACTATTATCATAAAGGGAGTCACACTCATTTTTTGGTTTTCCAGTGCATATAAAAGTTATGTTGACACTATCTTGTATTCGGTTAAATGTACAATAGTGTTATGCCTAAAAAATGTACATACCTTAATTTTTTAAAACTATTGCTGAGCAATACTGACATAGAGACAGGAAGTAAGAACCTACCACTGGAAAAACGGCACCAAAAGAGTTACCTGAGGCAGAGTTGCCACAAACCTTCAATTGGTAAAAATCTCAGTATCTATAAAGCACAGTAAAGCAAAACACAATAAAAGGAGATATGGCTGTATCTTGAAAAGGATGAGAGCTTTGGGTAAGGACAGTGTTAGGTTTTGAAGGGAAGGGAAGGGTTAAAGAAAGACAGAGAGAGAGTTGGCGGCTCTACAGCAAAGCAGGTTTTATGTCCAGCACAAGACTGTGGAGGTGGGGGACTAGCTTAATACCAGAACCCGCTGCCGCTTACAGGCTGGGGTACTTATAGGTATGGGCGGGAGGGGTCTAGACGGTATTACTTGCTGCCCGGCAGGACGTTGATAACATGTTCCTGTGGTCAGGCGGTTTTGCCAAGGATGTTCCTTGGGCCTTTTGCCCAGCGGGGCGTGATAAGAATGTTTCTTGGGCCCACTGTCCAGCAGAAGACGATAGGGATGTTCCTGTATTCACGTGGTTAGGCAGGATGTTTCTCACAGTTCCAACCCCCCGTGTAATGTTTCACTTTAACCAAGGTCTACAAAATGGCAGGGGGGCTTACAAAATGGTGCACCTCGGACTAACAGATAGGAAAAGTCTATGGCCTTTTGCCTGGAACTGCTTTTTTTCACCCAAGCTTCGTCAACAAGAATTTTAGAACTGTAGTTTTACCAGCTGAAATGGCAGCAACAACTGGAAGCTTGTTGCCAAACGGGATTGACTTGAGCTGGGTTGGAGAGTAGAACAAGATCCTTCAGTGTTTTCAGCTAATGGTGCTGAACTCTGCAGGAAATGCCCAGAAAAGGCCCAGAGTTTTGCAAGTCCAAGGTGATGACCCTGGGAGACTGGTACACCAGCTAAAACTTGATAATGGATTACTGGAAACCATGGAGTCATAGAATTATAGAGATCATCCCTGCACACATTCTTAGAATGAGCAGATGTGACTTAGAAATTGCATATTTGAGTGACAGAGACCCAAGTGGGCCCAGTGAATAAAAGTGAAGGAGGTGTCTTTTATGGGCACGCTTCAAGCCACACACATATACATTGGCAGAAAGTAGATTATTGAGGTCAAGGAGTTTGAGCAACACAAATGCCTAAGTTACTGGTGATTACCAAACTGTGCAGACACAGGTAGGGCTTCTGGCTAAAACTTAAAATGAAAAAAATCAGAAATATCAATCGCCAAACAGCTAGTAAGGGATAGATTCTGCAGCATAAGACCAGTCAATTAAGAGGAAATTCAACAATCTTAGAAAAATAAAACAGAATGCAGAATTATATATTATTTGTGAGACATAAAAAATATATTATCAACCGGCATTTTTCCATTAAAATTCCTGAAAAGAAAGAGAAAATCATAAACCATATTGAGATAAATCAGTCAGTGGAAGCTGACTCTTGACTGTTCCTAAATACTGGATTTTGCTAAGAGTTTTAAGTGGTTGTCACATAAATGCTTCAAAGAATATTCAAAACTATGAGCAAGGACTGAAAAAGGAAAATATAAAGACAATTACTCAAAGAATGAGAACTCTCAACAGAGAAAGGGAAACTATGGGAAAGGAACAAATAGGAATTCTAGATGAAAACTATAAAAACAGTATGGAAAATTCACTAGATAGGGCAACAGGAGTTTAAGTTGGCAGAAGCATCAATGAGCCTGAAGACAATTTAGTAGAAATGATCTAATCTGAAAAAGAAAGAAAATGACTAAAGAAAAATAATCATGACCTTAGAGGTTTACAAGTCAATGTGAAGAAGACCAGAAATATGCAATGAGTCAGAAAGGAGAAGACAGAGAAAGTGGCCAAAAAAATTTTGGAGGGATGACAAAAGCTTTCAAGAAGCAATGAAACTCATTCGTCTATAGATAAAAGAAATTGAAAGAACTTATTCAGGACAAACACAATGATACACATAACTATACATATTATAATTAAAATGCTGAACCAGCGACAAGGAGGAAATCGCAAATGCACAAAAATAAAATGACTCTCTATATACAGAAATACAGTGATAAAGCCATCAGCTAACTTTTCATCGTGCCCAAAGGAGGCTAGAAAACAGCGGAATGACATATGTAAATGCAGGGAAACAAAACAAAACAAAACCTAGGATTCAATATCCAGTGAAAGTATGCATTCAAAATAAAAGTAAAGTAAAAACATTTCTTGATAAACAAAAATGAAGAGAAATAATTACTTAAAGACATGCTGTATAACAATTTATCTAGGAAATTCTTCAGATTCACAAAAAATGACAGCAGACAGTAACTTGAATCTGTAAGGAGGAAGGAAGGCCTCAAAAGTACTAAGGGAACAAAAAAAGAGCTAGACCAAACCAACATGTTTACTTCCGTTTATATGAGGTTTCGTATAGGGAAAGCCAATCTATTTGGACAGATGTCAGAATGCCAGTTTCCTTGATTGGGATGGGGAAACAGCTGTTTCCTGAAAGGTAGGTACATGAGGGAAGAATCTGGAGATTCTGCAGTATTCTACAGTTTAATCTCGGTGGAGAATATATGTAAAACTTTATTCGGTTGCACTTTTTAACATTTCTGTCTTTTACTTTGTGTGTGTTTTATTTAAATTTTTAAAAAATTGAAAGGGCCAAATCTGAACTCTTTTAAACAAAAATGAACAAAAACATAAGAATTAGTAAATATTTGTGGAAACATGGCCTTATTAACAAGAAGTATAAAATGTGCCTGGGAGAGTACTATGAAACAAGAAATCTGTTAGGGAAGACAGAAGGAAATACTTAAATTTCTCCAACATAGACAGCATAGATTTTATGCCTATTCGTTTCCCTCCAAACAGAGAAGATATTTAAGTCATTTTGCTCACAAGAGAGGCTCCTACCCTCCCCTTGGCTCTTTCCACCCCACTGCACCCACCAGGTGATTTGCATATTATCCCTTAGTGAAGACTTTCCTTGTGAGTCTGAGATAAAAGCTCAGCTCTACCCTTGCCTTGACTGATCAGGACTCCTCAGTTCACCTTCTCACAATGAGGCTCCCTGCTCAGCTCCTGGGGCTGCTAATGCTCTGGGTCCCAGGTAAGGGTAGAAGGGAGATGAGGGAGGAGAATGGCATGGAACGGTGAGTTCTGGGGCCCCACTGCCTCTAACAACAGTGATCTCTGGGGGTCTCACTACACTCCTATGTGTGTTCCTTTCCTGTATTGGACATGCACATGTTGTCCTCCAGAGTGGGGCATGTGATGATCAGATCTGTGAGAGTGAGGAAGATTCAAGCAGAAACAAGGATCTGTGCTCTGGGGAAGACTGACACAGAAAGGGGATGGTGTGGGGTCTTCTGGAGACCCCTTTGAGCCTTGGATCCCTTGAGTTCCATTTTGAAACTGTGTATTTTTGAAATATGAACAAATACATATATAGCCTGAAATAAACAACAAATCAAAATTTATGAAAATTACACATAAACTTTATACATAACCTTGCTCTTCTTTCTATTTATTTCAGGATCCAGTGGGGATGTTGTGATGACTCAGTCTCCACTCTCCCTGCCCGTCACCCTTGGACAGCCGGCCTCCATCTCCTGCAGGTCTAGTCAAAGCCTCGTATACAGTGATGGAAACACCTACTTGAATTGGTTTCAGCAGAGGCCAGGCCAATCTCCAAGGCGCCTAATTTATAAGGTTTCTAACCGGGACTCTGGGGTCCCAGACAGATTCAGCGGCAGTGGGTCAGGCACTGATTTCACACTGAAAATCAGCAGGGTGGAGGCTGAGGATGTTGGGGTTTATTACTGCATGCAAGGTACACACTGGCCTCCCACAGTGGTACAGCCCTGAACAAAAACCTCCCTGTGGAGTGGCCCAGCTGCCCACATGTGGTGCTTGTCTGGGGAGCAGCTCAGCAGGGTCTCAGAATCTGTGTAAGAGGAAGATGCTGGAGAACCAGGGAACAATTCACATCTGAGGACTCTGGACTTTGAGAGCCCAGCCACACCTCAGGCACCACTCCTTTATGCCCTGCCAGTTGCCACCACCTTGACTGTCATAAGCAGCAGGAGAATGAGGGGTCCAAGTGCCCTGTGAGTAAACAAGCAAGATGGAAGGGGGAGGAGAATGAAAGCTCACCCTAACTCTCCCTACCTTGTGTCCATTTGTTAATTAAATGTAATTAGCAGAGCAGCCAGGCCATTGACACAGATTGTGACTATCCATGTTGGATACATCTTTGGGTTTAGCAGTTTTTGGCATATTGTTCAGAGGACATTTGATAATATTTAATGTTGGTATTTTGCCAGTTTTCTAACTTCCTGCTTCCCCTTTTCTCCCACTCCCAAAATAGAGTAGAGACAGCATTCTATACCAGTTATCCTAAGCGGAAGCTGGCTGAGGACAGTCAGTAAAAATCTTGATTTTGGAGTATCAAATAGATTTTTGTAAATTCATAGAAGATACAAGATCCTAATGCTAAAACTGTTTAGTTAGCCTTAGTTACCTCTTAATGATAGAAAAAAGGAGTACCTGAAATTCCAGAAGTTGTTTTCAAAAATAAAAAGCATATACTGGAAAATGTAGAGTATATAATTTTTCCCATAGAAAACTGGAAAAGTACAGAATGATGTGAACGTTTTTATTTCCAAATGTTAAGAATTTAAGATTGGGCAGACATTAGGGATGAAAGCATGAAGGAAACCCAGGAGAGGTCAGCTTCAATTAAACTACCCTTGGCCTTTGGTAGGTAGGGATGTGGATGGTGGTGGAGTTGGCAGTTCATGATGTGGACCCAGGAGGCCTGATGTGTTTCTTGTGAAGAATCACAGAGTTGAAGGCACCACTACCTGGCTTCCTGGGTGGAGCCTGCATCACTGCGAATTTTCTGGGAAAATAATGCTTTGGGAAGGGTTTTAGATCTGTAATCACCAAAGGCTTAGTGAAATCCCTGTGCAAGGAGACCTGAGGTCATGTCACTCATATCTTGTCAACCCCACACAGCCAAACAGAGCATCTGAAACTCATTCTGTCCCTAGAGACTGCTGGTTGGGTCTGGAGATGTCACAAGCACTGACATGCTGAGCAGAAGGCCCAGCAGGGTCTACACCAGCAGGGGGCGCAGTGGGGATGGAGACCAGTGTCCATGATTCAGACATGTATTCGGGATACATGTATCTGTGTAGCCTTGGGGATTGGGGGAGCATGCTGAATCTGTGGAAGTTTTATGTCCTTGTAGCCCAGCACCTCCATCCCTGCCTGCTGACTCAGACCTCAACATGTGTCCCATGGAAAGCACGGGCCACTTATAGAGGCTGCCCTGTGCAACCCCCAAGGCTCAGCTGGATTCTCCTTTCCCAGGAGAGCTCCTCTGCCTGTACCAAGTCAGAGCTTGTTTCCACAGGCAAACTTGGCGGCTATGGCAGAAGGACAAAAAGTCAGGTGAGCATCAGCTCAACAATGAAAGGTTCTTTTTACTATGGAATTTTAGATCATTCATTCCTTATTCCTTCCACTACTTTCTAAAGTCATTTAATTCTAACTTTGGTATTCTATTGTTTTAAATGGTTTGTACCTTTTGCAGTGGTTGTTTTGGCCTTTCCACTTCTATCTACATTGCTGTACCTGGGAATGAAGATTCCCTTCATTTTTTTTTAAACACAAATAAAGTTTTAGAAGTGACTATGTTGGTACTATTTAGTCAAAAAAAGTAAAACATTTTTAAACAATAAATTAATGTATTATTTTCACTGTACCTTGTCAGTACTTGGACATAAACCTGATTCCCACATTCTAACAATAGTGATATAAAAAATGTATGCTTTCCATAGAGTCAATTTAAAATAGTTCTCTATGAATATTTGTGAATTAGTAATGAGCCTGTGATTTACGTCCTATAGTGTGGTATGACTAAAGTAAAACAATGTTGCAATCAACAGGATAAAGTAATCCAGATTTAGATTAAAGAAATATGTTACATTCGAGATAATTTTCTATTAAAGATAATGTATTCCATGACAAGCATAATTAAATCTGTAGTTTTAACCAGACAGACAACATATACAGTAAAAATTTGGTTTATAGCAAGTGGTGTATAAGACAAAATTAATAACAAGTCTCCAGAGTATATTTTTACACATACCAAAAAGTAAGGACACACATACAATCAAAATTTTATTCATTTCTTCATCACAGGCACCAGTTTGGAGCCTGGAGATGCTGCACGTTCTCCTGTGAGCAGAAAACTCACCAGGACCCTGCACAGCCCGAGGGCCTCAAACGCAGCCTCCCTAGGAGGCTCAGCCTCTCAGTGCAGCACCAGCAACTGCAGCGCCCAGAGATGGAGTCCACAGCAGATGGGCTCAGGTGAAGATGGCTGGAGAGCCTTTGAAGAGGAGGTCATGAGTCCTCACTTACAGGCATGGGCTCTACTTCTGTGCGAACAGGGCCAGGGCCCCCAGGAAGCCTCCCAGAGCCTCTTCCTTCCTCCCAACTTAGGGTGTTCAGGCCCCACAGACTCTCCAGGGAGTGGCTGCCATGTCCTCTCTGGAGCAACCATGAAGTTCCCTGCTGCCCTCATGGCTTCAGGGATGCTCGTTCACGTCACTGGGACGGGATCCTGGTGGGTCGTGACCTCACCTGCTGCCTCTGATGACCTTCGGGGCACTTTGTCCTCCCTTTGCCAAATGACCTCACTCTCACCAACACTCTGAGGATTGAAAGTTGTCTGCACTGCATGATTTTTGCTTTTGAGCAAGTCAAAGCTCACAGGAGTCTCACACATGCATAGCCTGTATTAATATTACACACAATTCCTATTTTCACTTTTCCTATCTTCTTCCAATTTTCTCTGCACACTTACTTACTCTGCCCATCCACTTTCTCCTGTGAAGCTGCTAATGTGGGTTTTTATTTCCAGGCTGATGTGATTTCCTTGCTGCAATACTAGACATGTGCTCATCACATGCCCACATTTTTAAGAATAAAGTATTTTGAGCACAATTTGCTCTTCTTGTACTTGTATGTCAGGGTGGCAGCTCAGGGGATCGGTTTGAAAATTTATTTGCTAAAATGCATGAATATTTCTAGAAATTCGGTGTTATAAATTAAATGTCTTCTTGCATCCCACAACTTTTGATATGTGTTTTCTTTCACTTCAGATTGCTTTGAAATGTCCATCTCTTGGTTTCATCTTTGTCCCAGGCTTTATTTAGTAGTATGTTACATAGTTTTAAAATATTGAGATTTTTTTCTGATAGCTTTCTGTCATTGATTCCTAATAAATTTCCCTTGGCTTCTGAAACTTTATTTTATATGATTTAAATCCATTTAATTTCTTTGAAATAACTTGTGGCCCAAAGCATGATCTCTCTTAGCTAATGTTTTAAAATGGCTATGGAGTCTGCTGTTGTGGCAGAGTGTTCTCTCAGTGTCAATCCTACCCACATGGTTGATGGCTTTGGCAAGTCATCTGTATCTGCATGGGCCCAAGAGACACTGTTGCCTACAGTGCAGGCTGGAGCTGCTGCAGAGCCCTTTTCTGCCCTGGGTCTCCACTAAAGGCTGGGAAGACTTCCATGTCACCTGGATGGTGACATGACCAGTATTCCACGGTGTAGAATCTGTTGCCTCTAGATTCCAAAAAGGCCGCTGTGAGCTTCCTTCATTTTTTTAAATAAAGACTCTCATGAAACAGAATGGAATGGAATACATATACCTATCATCAGGAACTCTGATTCTCTCCAAGTTTATGAAGCACATACTATCGTAACCTTATTGATTTGGGTAAACCATTTAATGCCATTTGATGGCAGCTATAGAGCTGAGTACCCAGAAATATGAGCTGCAGTGCAATACCAGCTGGGAGAGGTCAGCCTCCCAACCATAGCCAGAGTATGACCAGGCAGTCACAAAGAGTTCTCCAGGAATTTTCTGATAATTTTCCTTGTGTCAGGGCAGTTTCTGGCCTGGCTTTCTAATGAGGAAGGGGTAAAAGTTGACACTGTGATGTCCTGACTTCTACTGCACCAACTCTTACCCAGTCCTTCTGTCAATAACTCAGTAGGCTACACAAGTCAAATTCTCGATAAGTATATTAAACCTGGTCTAAAGTTTTTATTTCTTTTATGGATTTGCCTATTCCATTAAACATTTTAATATCTTGAATACGGTTGTGCAAATCATGCCTCTCAGTCTCTCTGCAAATATTAATATTGGGGCAAATTTAATAACAGTTTTCTCATGATGTCATATTTTCTTACCAGTTCTGAATAAGCTGAACTGTATGTAATGACAAATATTATAAGCTAGTTTGAGCTCAAGACAAATTACTTTTACTGAAATTTAATACCTTAGCATCAACCTGGAAACAAAAGATGTTGCTCAAGTTTAAAGGTCTATTCATGAGTATCATAAACTTGCACATATTTGCTACAGTATTCCACAGGATCAATAGGTTTTCTGTTTTAATGTGCTAAATATAGACACTTTTTGTGCAATCAGATTTTCTGGGATAAGCGGATAACAGAGATTCTCATATTAGGCTTTAAATTCTACCTAGGACTGCTAGGATTTCACAATACAAAAAGTCATTTTCTAGGTTGACGATATTCTTCATTTTCTAGGGTAAGAACATTAAATAGGAGTAAGAGCTGGTAAAGTAAGTCTCTAAGACACAGTCATATCTATAGTCCTTTGTTACACTTTATAATTTCATGCCCTGACTGCTTCTAGGAGATTAAAATTTATTTTATTTAACTTTATTTTATTACTGATCTTGCATTCTTTTCTTGCTAGGATATATTTTAGAAAAACAAATTTGGAGAAGTACTGAAATTTGAGCACAGTTAATGCTTCATAGCGCATGTGAACTTTGGGTGATCGTTGACTCCTGGCCAAGAAAGGACCAGTAAAAGTGAAATTTACCACTATGACATGAAGCTGCTGCTTCCATAAGGCAGAGTCACCATTTCCAGGTGTCCATGTAGAGGCTGTGCAGTTATTGTTATTATTACCATTATTGTTGTTATAACAAGGAATGAACACCAGGTAATTTGTTCAGCCCCTGCCTCTTTCTTATTCTGAACTTTAGATTTTTATGAACAGGAGTTGACAGGAAGAGGCTAAAAGAGAATTTCTGTTGATTTTATAAATTAAGTGATTTGATTTTGTCTCTGATTTTTTCCTGAAGGTCTTAACATTTCTGCATTCAAAATGTATATGAGTATTTTGTTGATCTTAAAATTAATATAAAATGAGTAATAAATGTCAAAATTCTCAAATTATAATTTTAATTTTTCTGTAGGTGAACCATGCTCTCTAAATTAAAAAGTAAGAAACAAATTTATTTGTCTTCTTGGTATATTCATACAAATTTTTACATCACAGGCAGTTTCCACTGCAGTTTAAAAGGCTCAAATTCCCGATTCCGTCCCCAGAATCTTCTTGGGGTCTCCACCCTCCACCTCTCAATTAAACCAAGCTTTAATATAAGGTCAAAAAGACAACTTTCATGTTCACATGGTGGAAAAAATTAATAACCTTCCAGGCAAGTTGTGATTTTCTAGAAACCTACTTTTGAGGAGTGGTTTTATAGAGACCTACTTTCTATAAGGGTGAGAATTTCGAGGGAACTTATAAGATGCAGAAGGCCCAGGGAGGCAATGGAATTATTGTTTCGCTTTTTGTATTGATGTTTGGTGAGGTGGGCTCTGCAGAAAGATTAACATGCATGAAGGAAAACTCCAGCACTGAATCTCACAGCTCAGTCTGTTGTTTTATAGGACTTTTTTCCATTTTTTTTTAAGCAAAAGGAAAGACAAATAATCCAAACGTTTAGAAACAGTTTCAGATTTGGCAGGTTAGAACAGGGTCTGAAGACTCAGAAACATGTTACATGTTGCCTTCCAGGTCAAACATGTAAACAACTCTGTTTTCTCCAGTTTTTAGAGAGAGAAATTCTCAGAAGCACAAGATATAGACGTACAAGAAGCCTTCATTCCCTGAGCTCTCTGTGTACCAGAATATTTATCCATGAATCTATGCCCCAGTGGTGACAATTTTCAGTTAGTGAGATAATGCAGACAGCTTCAATCTCAGGTGTCTGGAGCCAGGAATCTAGTCACAGGACCTGCAGCGTCAGAGACTGAAGCTCCCTTTGTAGGTGACTTGGTCTTTTTTTTTTTTTTTTTTTTTTTTTTGAGACGGAGTCTCGCTCTGTCACCCAGTCTGGAGTATGGTGGCGCCATCTCCGCTCACTGTAATCTCCGCCTCCCAGGTTCAAGCCATTCTCTTGCCTCAGCCTCCAGAGTAGCTGGGACTACAGGCGCCCGCCACCACGCCTGGCTAATCTTTTGTATTTGTAGTAGAGACAGGGTTTCACCGTGTTAGCCAGGATGGTCTCCATCTCCTGACCTCGTGATCCGCCCGCCTCTTACACAGGGGCAAACTCTCACTTTTAGTCAGGAAAAACCTCCATTGAGGTCCAGGTGGAGAACAGGCCTCTGTATGTCTCAATCTCCTCCAGAACAGTGTGAGTTTCCCTGTTTGGACAAGTACAGTCGGCAGAAAAAAGTTTACAGAATGTGTGACAGTGTTGTAGAAATGAGCTAAAGATGGCCAGTGCAAACTGCCCCTATGTGGTGTGTTTCTAAACTGCAGGCTATTTCTAAATGGCCTGTGCCACACTCAAGTTTTCCAATCCAATCATTTCAAAAACAGCCCAAAGATTATTTTTTTTTTTTTTTTTGAGACCGAGTCTTGCTCTGTTGCCCAGGCTAGAGTGCAGTTGCACGATCTCTGCTCACTGCCACCTCTGCCTCCCGGGTTCAAGCGATTACCCTGCCTCAGCCTCCTGAGTATCTGGGACTACAGGCGCCTGCCACCACACCTGGCTAATTTTTTTGTATATTTAGTAGATATGGGGTTTCACCATGTTAGCCAGGATGGTCTCCATCTCCTGACCTCATGATCTGCCCACCTTGGCCTCCCAAAGTGCTGGGATTACAGGCGTGAGCCACTGCGCCCAGCCCGAAAGAAGATTTTTAGCCATTCAGAGAATGCTTGCTTTTCATATCACAGGAAACCTCACCCACATCTGTTAGCAGTAGGTAAGATAAGCCCCAGGAGATGAAAATTGCAAATCACTCCTGCCCTCTGGATATCTCAGACCCAGATTAAGCTGTTGTCTGGCTACCCCTAGACAGAGAATGCCTTTCTCCAATGTTCCTTTACCTTAGGATTTCCCTTGTTCTCCACCTTTTCTGAGTAGCAGCCCCAACATCTTTCATTCTAGACAGTCTCCTGCTGTGAGGGACTCCTTTGGGCAAATCTGTCAAAGCTTCACCCAACAACAGTCATGTGTGCTACTGCCACCCTATGGACATCTCTTTCTGTTTGATCAGAACCTCAATTTTTCAAACTCTCTATAAACAGGACCACACTATCCACCCCACAAACACTGACTCCAGCATAATGGACACAATTCCACCTCCGAGGCTGTCTTCTCAAGTCATACAAATAATACACTTGCCTTCAATTTTATGGACTGCAAACTAACAGCATCTGGCAAGTGAGATGCAATAAACCCCACCCGGATGAGTCCTTCCTCATTCGACTGATCATGGTCCAGATTCGAGAAATACAGAGGCCGCTCCACAATTGAATCAAATAGAGGCTGTTCTTCTACCTTTTTAACTGTGTCCAGCATGGAGCGACCAGCTTTGTCTGCTGTTGTGAAGCCTCTGTGTACTCTATTTAAACCTTCAGGAGAGAGGGGTTCCTCTTTAGAATTAAGAATATTATTCTCTAAGTTTAATAATGTAGGGTAATTTCAAGGCCTTTAGTATAGGGTAATTTCAGAGCCTTTTTATGATTGAAACAATTTTTTACAAGGTTTTACATTTTCAGATATGTAATGACAAGAGATTATGAGATAAAACAACCAATCCCAATCGTAAACTTTTTAAAGCTCTGTCATTAATTTTCAAAGGAAACAGCAGTACTCTCTGAAATTCAGCACCTTAAAGAATACTTTGTAAAACTAAGATTTTGAAGAATTGACTAATAGTAAAAGCAAGCCTGACAGATTTATTACTGTTATTCGTTTTCCCACAATGCAAGTTTCTATATAGGATAGTGGGTGGAACTGATTATTCAGTTAACACCTTTTCAGACTAATCCGTTTATACCAGTGATAAGATGTACCTTAATGTTCTCTTTTAGATTGTGTCTTTACTTTTATTTTTCTTTTCAGCATCTGATGTTTCTGACTCTTTTAACTATTATGATGAATTAGGAGTTTGACATTTCCAAGGCTAAGAACCATATTTGACCTGCTCAGCATCACAAGAAAAAAGAAGTCAATGCCAGGCACCGTGGCTCACTCCTGTAATCCCAGCACTTTCAGAGGCCAAGGCAGGTGGATCGCTTGAGGCCAGGAGTTCGAGACAAGCCTGGCCGACATGTGGAAACCTCGTCTCTACTAAAAATACAGAAATTAGTTGGGCATGGTGGAGAATGCCTGTAGTCCCATCTACTCCAAAGACATGAGAACTGCTTGAACCCAGGAGGCAGAGGTTGCTGTGAGCAGAGATTGCACCACTACACTCCAGCCTGAGTAACAGACAGAGACTGTCTCAAGAAAAAAAAAAAGTGAAACACATAAGATTTACAAAAAGTGATGAAAGAATAGAATAAATAAAAATTTAAATAGTGAAATATGATACATTTATTCTAATCCTACTTCCACACTACAATTTGATATTCTCAATTTAGGTTACTGCCATGACGTTCAACGTTTTAAGGTCAATATCATTTTTACTCAATTTTTTTCACCAACTTTGTTAAAACATCATATGCCAGTGCATTTCCCGGAAGATAATCAGGACAAGCTTTGTGTGCAAAACACCTAGAGCTCTGTTTTGCTTTTCTGGGTGTGTGTTCTTTACCAAGTAAATCAGATGTTGTATTAAATCACTGAAGATTACATAGCACTAGAAACTATTCTTTTAATTGCTCCCAGGATTTTTGTTGTTTTTTTCAGGACAGTGGCAGTCTCTGTGAAGTGATTTGATGTACGCACCGTTATTCAGGAGCAGCTAAATTCAATATTAAGCACATCACTGACAAATGAAGAATACTCAAGTTGTTTTCCTATTGTAACGATGAGTTGTGTGGTAGATTCATATGCCTGACCTGTGATCATCTTTCAATAAAAACCTAGGAAAATGTCGTCCATAGTACTGCTGACCCTGAGACTTAAAACCAGGGATCCAGTTCTTGCTCTTCCTACATAGAGAATCTCATTTTGAACTGTGGTGTCATGGCTGTGGCTGTGCCACATACAGGCCAGGGGGAGACAAGGGTTCACCCTCAGAGTTGACAAGAATTTGGAAGCCCTGACATCCTATAAAACGTTACTTGCCCAAGATTGAAACTTTCAAATTCAGGTCCTTCTTCCTCCTCTATGATGAATTAGGTTTTATTAGTTTCCTCCAAGGGACACTTTATATCACATTGCTCACAGAGAAGACATATCTACCCCCTTCACCCCCCACCCAATGGCTCTTTCCACACCACTGCACCCACCAGGTGATTTGCATATTGTCCCCTAGGGAGGACCTTCCCTTGTGAGCCTGAGATAAAAGCTCAGCTCTAACCTTGCCTTGACTGATCAGGACTTCTCAGTTCATCTTCTCACCATGAGGCTCCCTGCTCAGCTCCTGGGGCTGCTAATGCTCTGGATCCCTGGTAAGGATGGAAGGAGATGAGGGAGGAGGAGGGGGTGGGAGGCTGAGCTCTGGCGGCCCCACTGATTCCCGTGTTTATTCTAACCATGTGTTAAAGGAATATGCCCTATGCTCCAGGGAGAGGAATTCATATTTTGCCCTGATGATGATTTGAAAACTCCTAAAAGCAGTGCTCTGAATAATATCTTGAGAAATGAAAGAACTCTTGTGCCTATTTAATAAAGGGTTCATTTAAAATTTTGTTTTTATGATATGAATACAAATTTGTAAAAATAAAAGATTAGCCATAAATCAATATCATAAGGCAAATCTCAAAAGTTGTTCATTATGCTTTCACATAACCTTGCACTTCTCTCTCATAATTTCAGGATCCAGTGCGGATATTGTGATGACCCAGACTCCACTCTCTCTGTCCGTCACCCCTGGACAGCCGGCCTCCATCTCCTGCAAGTCTAGTCAGAGCCTCCTGCATAGTGATGGAAAGACCTATTTGTATTGGTACCTGCAGAAGCCAGGCCAGTCTCCACAGCTCCTGATCTATGAAGTTTCCAGCCGGTTCTCTGGAGTGCCAGATAGGTTCAGTGGCAGCGGGTCAGGGACAGATTTCACACTGAAAATCAGCCGGGTGGAGGCTGAGGATGTTGGGGTTTATTACTGAATGCAAGGTATACACCTTCCTCCCACAGTGGTACAGACCAATACAGAAACCTCCCTGCTGGGGTGTCCCAGCTGCTCACTTGCACTGCTTGTCTGGGGAGTAGCTCAGCAGGGACTCTGAGTCTGCAGAAGAGGAGACTGTTGGAGAACTCAGGGGCAGGGCTTGCTGTTGAGGACTCTGGCCCATGAGAGTCTCAGCAGCACCTCAGTCCCACATGGTCAAAGCTTTATCAGTTGCCAGGCTCATCCTCACCCTGCCTGTCTTGCCCACGTTTGCCGAGTACACTCAATCAGCATAACAGCCAGAACATAGATGCAGTTTAGTGACAACACAGGTGGAATACATGTGGCAAATGACCAGCTTGGGGTTTATTTTACACAAATTAATACTTGGTGATAATATTTGGAATTATTGCGAATTTGGTATTTTCCCACTTTCCTTACTTTCTATTTCACTTTACTACTCACACTAAACTGCACTTTCCAGTGTCATGTGGGAGAACGTGTTCTATACAAGCTGTCCTCAGGGGGAGTATGGATAAGAATAATTAGAAAAAAAATGTTTGATTTCTGACTATTCTTAGACTTTGTAAATCCATGGCAGATATAAATCTTAATGCCAAAAGATTTTGATTTGCCTCAATTACGTTTTTCCCAGTGAAGAGGGAGTTCTTGCAACTCCAAAAGTGAGCTTCAGAAATAAGCAGCACTGGCCGGGTACAGTGGCTCACGCCTGTCATTCCAGCACTTTGGGAGGCCGAGGTGGATGGATCACCTGAGGTCAGGAGTTCGAGACCAGCCTGACCAACATGGTGAAACCCGGTCTCTACTGAAAATACAAAATTAGCCAGGGCGTGGTGGCACACACCTGTAATCCCGGCTAGTTGGGAGGCCGATGCAGGAAAATCACTTGAACCTGGGAGGTGGAGGTTGCAGTGAGCTGGAGATAGTGCCACTGCACTCCAGCCTGGGCTACAAGGCGAAATTCTGTCAAAAAAAAAAAAAAAAAAAGCAGCATAAACTGAAAGATGAAAAACACAGAGTTTACTAAATATGCCACAGGAAAAATGCAGAATTATATGAGAGGTTTTTTTTTTCCTCAACCAAATTCTAATTGTAAAAGTATTTATTCTAAGTACTATTTTAGGGATGATAAATTTAGTACTATGTCATCATAATAAAAGGTTTCAAATGTTACAAAAATGTATTATTTACTTATGATAACATCATTACCAGAAAATGAATCTGGATCATATGTTTTAGTTGTAAAAACATAGAAAATTTATTATTTCAATAGATTCCATGTAAAATAGTGTTCTAGTGTTATAATATTCTATCAAGCTCAATGATGAGCTATGTCAGTTACATATTACAATATTGTGTGATAGACACAAAATGATTGAAGCAACAGAACAAGAAGCTCCTGCTTCAGATTTAAGGTTTAAAGTATATTTGAGATGATTTTCTACTCTAAGATAATGGATTTCATGGCAAGTGCAATTAAAATTCCGAAGCGCCATTTCTGTTGGGTTTAGTAGACATTGCAATATTTATATAGAAATCAAGCAGACTGAAACTGTGAAAATAAGAAACATAAGACACTTAATACACTGTTTAAAATGCTAATTAATTCATCATGGAGCTTAAAAGTTATTACAGAATGCAGGGAGAGAAGACAAGCGTAAGTAGCAAGGGCAGGAACTAACCACTGTCATCACCATCTTTGGCCATCAAGTGATTGACAGCACCTAGTGACCTAAGATTCTGCTTTGATGTGAGACAGGGGAAAAGGCCCAAACCACTCAAGGTGGTTGGACACCTTTAAAAACCAAACAAACATACAGCCTACATGGTGCTGATACCTCAAGGGGCGATACTCTCAAGTCAAAATGGTGAAAAATAAATGATTCCAAATACGGAAAGGGATACAAAGAGAATCAGAGCATAATCAAATGTATTACAAAGAAGCTTCAAAATATGGTGGACTGAATGTGACAAGGTTTCTCTGTCTGTGCCATGGCAGTGTAGAGGCAGGCAGGTGGCCTTGGTGGTGTCGGTGGCTCTGCTCCATGAGGTCACTCAGGTGGGCAGGAACCACGACCACCCTCAGCGCACAGCCCTCCTCCTTCCTCACAGTCTCTGCCCCCACGGCCATCCTCAGCAGCATGAGGTGGAGCAGAGTGAAGGGAAAGCTGTTTTCTTCTAAAGGCCAAAGAAAACTCCAGTTTTCCACCAGGGATAAATGTTCTTTTGTGTAAAGCACAGGTTTGTGAAATTTTTCACCAAGTGAATCTTGTGAGAAACTCACACTTTTTGTTGTTTTTAATCTGAAAATGTATTTACATGATTCCTGGAAATAATTTTTTTGAATATGTGATTATATTGTGGCAGTCTACCTGAAGTTGTCATTTACCATTGAGAATTACTGCTAAAAAGTCATTTGATAAAAAAAGACTCATCTGTGACAGACAGTCCTCCTTTGGAAGGACTCTGTCTTTTTATCCCTTTATACCCATTTTAAGCCCTTTGATGGCCTTTGGGTTTTTCTTAAACAATCAATGTATTAAGTTTAATTCATTATTTATGTTTAATAATTAATTTTCAATGTGCACATGTACCCTAAAACTTAAAGTATAATAATAAAAAAAAGAAAAAAAATTAATTTTCACTAGCACAAAGTCAAAAATCCTGAACGTTGCTATGTCAAAGACCTGCCTCTAGATGGCAAACAAACCCCACAATAAACCAAAGAGATTGCCATGATCTAAAAATATTACTTGCATTGTAAGGGTGATGATGTCTGCTTATCAACATGGAGCCCCTAAGGCTGAAATGGGGTCTCATGTGTGACCTGGAGCACCCAGGAGGAGCTTCCAGCGTGCTGTCTTGTGGGGAAACCCCTCTTTGCTCTGTGATCTGAGAATGCAAGCCTGGCCCTATTCCCCTTATGCAGCTGTAGGAGATGATTGAGGTAATTGAGGCTAAATGAGGTCAAAAGGATGGGACCATGATCCAATAGAATTAATGTTCTTATAAGAATAGAAACCAGAGAGCTCTCCTTTTCTCTCTCTCTCTCTCCTCCCTCTTGCCCCTAACTCAACTTTCTACCCACGGTGGCTATCTCCAAACCAGGAAGAAGGTCCTTACCAGAAAGTGAACCTTGTTGGACTTTGATCTTGCAATTTCCAGCCACCAGAAATATAAAAATTAATTTCTGCAGTTTAAGTTGTCCAGCCATATCCATTTTGGTGTTGGAGTCCCAGTGGACTACTACACCATCCTTGCCAGCTCCAAGCAGAATAGGCCTCCAGAGGCTCCCCATGGACATGGGCACCCAGCTTTGTTCCTGTTCCTCCTGCTGTTCTGATTCTCTAGTGAGGAAGGCAGATGCAGGCTTCATCCTATTTGTCTGCATTTTCTACTAGAATGTCTCCTTGAAGATGAAGTGGTTAGCCTGTTTTGCTTTCTGATCAGAACTTCATCAAACTGAATGAACTACTTGTTTGGTATTAATACTTGGGGATGTTCATGTTTGTTTCCGACATAGATGCCAGTGGGTATGTTGTGTGCACTCCATCTCTTACCCCTTTTCCTATGTCCCCAGAGAGAAGGCCACTGTCATCTGTAGGGCCGGCCAGAGTGTTAAGAGCGTTCTATTTTTGCTTGGCTCCCGCAGAAAACAGGCCCAGCTCTGAGCTCCTGTTGGCTCCTGGTTCTCTGTGGATGCAACACCTGCCCGGGTCAGGGTTCAACTGCCTGGACAGATATCACTCTGGCCATCAGCAGTGAAGCTGATCAAGGAACCCCATTGTGAACAGGGTTCCAGCAGCTGTGTGAGTCGTGAAAGCTGGGCCGATAGGTCCCACATGGCTCCAGTCAGAGGGGAGGCTGCCAATAGGCTGTGGAGGGCTTTCATCCTGTGACCACACAGCCACTGACCTCATGTGCTGCTCTGTCTGACAGGATCCCCTATGGGAAGGACCTGCCCACAGGAAGCTCTGGGCACCAAATGTTCCTCCACCGCCTAGCTCCACCGCCTGTCTCCCTGGCACCTGCTGCTCTGTGTTCCTCAGACCCGCTCTGGTCACTCAAAGTTCTCAGCAATGAGCAGGTCAGTGCTCAGCCCTGCAGGGACATGGAGGTAAAGCCTGAGTTTCCTCACTCTCGGGCTCTGCAGTGGGGAAGGAGCCATGGAGTGGTGCACCCATTGCTGGTTTTAAATGTTCCTGCTCAATTTATCACAATTTAAAGTCATGCATTATAACAACAAAGTTATATTTATTTCTGTATAAATACATATATTACATTGATTTATAATATAGATGCAAAATTTAAGAAGATACTTACTTTCAGAATAAAAAAGTGAATAAAATGTCACACATCAGGATTGATATGCCCACCAAGGCTTTGACTTGTCTTGGTGCATGATTGAATTAGGATCTAATAGAAGGAGGCAGAGAAGAAGGTTAGAAATGGACTGTTATTCCTTAGGTTCTCTTAAGGGGGTGGAGGCCAAATAATTCACGGGTTGTCAGAAAATACCCCAGGGCTCTTTCTCAGTTGCCTGGTAACAAACTGGCTGAAGTTTGGTGCTTCTTTTCCCTGGAAAGAGGTGCTATGATTTTCCATAGCTTCCAGGTTGCCAGGAGCTGAATGCCTGGCATATCCAGGCCTTCCTCAAAAAGCTGGTTCCTGAGCTCAGAGTGCTTGGGGCCTGCACATAATATTCCTTCCCTGTGCTGATGGATAGCTCTAGGCTAGGAGAAGCCAGGGGAGAAGGAGAGGCTGGTGTGGGGCTAGAGAAGTGAACATTTCTCTCTGCTTATTGTTTTGTATTTTTAGTATATTTTCCATTCAATGTGTTATACATATCGTATGTGCACAATTATGTTTATTTTATGTAAATATCATCCTGTGAAATATGTCATTATGCTCACTGTTTTTCTACTGAGATGTATGAGTTAAAATATTTCAGTGTTGTTAAGGGTGAAACTTGTCTATTACTTCTCATTGCTGCCTGATGATCCAGTCAAGATGTCAACTACATTTAACCTATGTTCCTGGTAATAGATACCCAGATTGTCTCTAACTCCTCATCTTTAGAAATAATGATACAAAAGCCTCGTGGATATCTCCTTAGTTGTCTTCTAAGAGGTGTGTGTGTTTTGGATTGCGGGGATTATTTGGAAAATTACATGGAGCAAAACTGATGGTTCATAAGAAAATATTTAGTTGACTTGAGCAGTGCCAGAATTTTCTTTGGAAGGCTTACATTGACAGATGTTAAAGCTGGAAACTTTTAAATCAAATTATACCTCTTTTACTCTCAGAAAGAGACAGGTTTAATAACAAAATTGCACAAAGATCAAAAGATTAGCATCCTGCTTTAGAAATCTTTAATCTCCTTCTTCAAGTGAATGAAGCTTTCCTGCAGAGCAAAACAAATTATCTCACATTTAACAATGGAAGAATATGTGACACATTTAAAGTCCCCTTCAGCTGCAAGAGCCTCGGCAGGGCAGAACAACAGCAGAAAGGAGGATGCAGTGGGCTCTGAGCCACATCTTGCCAGAGGAAAGGCTCAATGAAAGCTCATCTTGATTCTTTCTGCCGGTGTGCAGATGCCTAACAAATACAGGTAGCAGAACAGCCAGAAAACTCAGGCCGCTTTGTAGCAAAACAAGTTGAATACACATGCACACATTTAACCAAAATTGGATTGATTTCACTTGCATAATTGTCAGTGTGGAGCCTAGAGACAGTGCACAGACTCCTGTGAGCAGGACACTCACTGGGGCCCTGCACAGTGTGAAGGCCCCAAACACAAACCTTCCAAAAAGGCTCAGCCTCTCAGTGTGGCAGGAGCAGCTGTGGTGCCCAGAGGATGCATCCACACCAAACTCAGGTGGAGGTGGCTGGAGAGCCTTTGAGTTAAGGAGGCCATGAGGCCTCAGTAAGGGGCACGGGCTCTTCTTCTGTATGAATGGGGGCCAGGGCTTTTACAGATTTTGAATAAGGCTATTTTAAGATCCCAAGGAAGAATAAAAGACCAAACTAAATAACTTCTGTTGATTTCCAAAATTAACAAAAGTATTTTTTCAACCATTTAATTCCATACCAAGTTACCACAAATCCAAAATACAGAACATGAAAGAGCCACGGGCTGAATGAATTATTCAGTGGCCATTCTTAGTCTTAAATAATAACACAAGCTCTGCACTAGCAGGTGGAAATGGTGAATTGCCTCTAATGTGGTAGCAGTAGCATAGTAATAAACTTCACTTTTGGAATCAGGGAAATGTGAGACTGGGTAATTTATAAAGGAAAGGTGTTCAATTGGCTTACAGTTCTGCAGGCTGTGCACACATGGTGTGGGCATCTGCTTGGCTTCTGGGGAGGCCTGAGGGAGGTTTTACTTATGACAGAAGGTGAAGCAGGAGCAGGCATATCCCATGGCTTAAGTGGGAACAAGGCAGGTGGGGAGTGGCGTGAGGTACCACATGTGTTTAAACAACCAGATCTCACAAAGTACTCATCATCATGACAGTACTAAACCATGAGGGATGCACCCCCATGACCCCCAAACCTCCCACCAGGCCCCATCTTCAACATTGGGAATTATATTTCAACATGAGATTTGAGTGGGATAAATATCCAAACCATGTCAACATCTATCTTGGCTTTTCTTGGCCGAGAGAGAATAATCCAAAGTTTAAGTGCTCCTTGAAGGACAATTGGCCTCACCTTTTAGTAATTTTAGAAATGTACATGTTAGCTCTTCTAAAATTACCCTTATGCCAACCAAAAAATGAAATATTAGTAGTAAATGACAATTAAATAGAATAGAATAAAATAAATAATTTTGTTTTCCCTAGAACAGTCGTCTGATGAAATCACAAAGTTTACAAATAGCTGGAGGCTAGGATGACTTGTTAGTTACTTATTTAGGCAGCTCTTACACATGTTTCCTATTCTTGCTTTGGAAACTAGTGAACTCCAAAACTCAAAGATTATTTG
Organism: Homo sapiens; assembly: GCF_000001405.40. Lineage (NCBI taxonomy): Eukaryota > Metazoa > Chordata > Mammalia > Primates > Hominidae > Homo > Homo sapiens. Next base: position 336,015 of record NW_012132915.1, on the reverse strand, counting down.
ATTCTTGCGTAGGATGGAATATAGCAGCCCTAGAAGAAATTTAAACCCAATTATGGGAATTTATATTAAACAACTTACTGGGGAGCTCGACTGCACCAAAATTATCTAAGACAAAAGAAAAAGAAGAAACCTGCTGATTAACTTGTTAAATTAAAGGAAATATTTACTGGGAAATTATATTCTTGAGTATGCTTCCAAAAAAGAGCAAGCTTTTATAGCTGGCATGTGGTTTTGAGATTTAATAAAGGTAATTTGCTTGGAATAGAAATTAATTCTTAATAGTGGTCAGAATAGCAGCTCAACAATGTAAAAACCTTATAAACACCCAGGGAAGCTGTGGTTTTTTGGAGACCTTATTTCAGGGACAGAGGTCCCTTTCTTTAAGGGTCAGAACTGAGAAGGAATCTTAGAGGGAATAAAGAATGTAAGGGACACAGAATGCTTAGGGATGCAACAAAATCACTGCCTCACTTTGTGCAGTCTGATGGGGGTGAGATGGGCCCCACAGAAAGATGAACATGCACGGAGGAAAAGCATCCCTGGAAGCACAGGACTCCACTAGCTAATCTCATATCTCAGTGTATACTTTATATCATTTTTTTTCTGTTTTTTTCTAAGAAAGAGGACAATCAATTGAAACATTTGGAAACAGGCTCAGATTAGGCTGATCAAGAACAGGGTCTGAAGATTCAGAAAGGTCAAATATGTAAATATCCCTGTGTCTCCCAGTGTTTAGAGAGATTCTCAGAAGCAGAAGATACCTATCCACAGAGCCCTCATTCCCTGTGTTCTCTGTGTACCTGGATATTTATCCATGAATCTGTGCTCCAGTTGGTCACAATTTTCAGTCGATGAGATAATGCAGACAACTTCAATCTCACGTGCCCTGGAAGCCAGAAATCCAGCGCAGAGGACCTGCAGCTTCACAAAGTGAAGCTCCCTCTGTGGGTGGCTTGGTCTCAGTTCTCACCAAGGACAAACTTTCAACTTTAATAAAACATTTAAAAACCTCCATTGAGGTCCAGGTGGGGAAAAGACTGCAGCGTGTCTTCAGTCTCATCCATAGCAGTGTGGATTTTGTCTATCTGCACTAATATAGTCTTTAGAACAAAGTCTACAAAATGTGCAACAATGATGTATAAGTGAGCCAAAGGTGTCTTGTGTGAACTGCCCATATGTTGTTTGTTTCCAAATTGCAGCTTATTTCTCTATGGCCTGTGCCAAACTCAAACTTTACAATCCTATCATTTCAAAAACAGCCCCCCAAAGCAGATTTTTTGCCATGTAAAGAATGCTTACATTATGTATCTCAGAGAACCTTGCTCACATCTGCTAGAAATAGGTAAGCCCCAGGTTATGAAAACCCCAGACTAATATTTCCCTCTGGTTCTCTCTGACCTAGAGACTCCCCACTGTGCTGCTGTATTGGGAAAAGCTGAGTGTTGGGAGAAGCTGAGGCAGGGCTTGCATGTCTGACATAATGTAAAACAGTCTTGGAACATGTCTGGGGTCCAGGGTCTAAAACCCATTGTGGCGTTTGGAACACCAAGCTCTGTGCTATAAAGGGTGGAAGGCTACCCTGACACACTGTAATCTAAGCCCAGGGCATAAAATCCCTCGTGGCTTGGATAGAATCCAGGGTTCATGGCTCTGGAATGTGTCTACACTTGCTGGCTCCTTGCTCCTTGCTCTCCCAGGTTCGATTGTATCTTGAGTTAAAGGAACCTGCTCTCCATTATCTCAAGTAGCAGAGCGAATGCTAAACCATCACAGCTATAAATCTTGTGCCTAATGCAACGTGCCCTTTTGACCTCCACATTCTCACCACCTTTTTCTTTGTTGGATAACCAATAAATAGCACTGGGCTCCCAGAGCTCGGGGCCTTCGCAGCCTCCATGATCACGATGGCCCCCTGGTCCCACTTTACTTCTCAAACTGTCTTTTCTCAATCCTTTGACTCCACCAGACTTGGTCATCCCCATGACCTGGTGTTGGGTCTGATCACCCCAACACTGCTGTGTGACAACACCTAGACACATAAGCCCCTTATACAGCAAATTTCTTCCTCCCCCCCTTCTGAATAACAACCTTGGCCCCTTGGCCTATAGACAGACTCCTGCTCTCAGGAACTACCGGCAAACCTGTCAAAGCTTCACCCAATAAAAGTTGTGTGTGCTACTGCCATCCTGTGGACATCTCTTTTTCTTTGCCCAGGCTCCAAAGTCCTCAAATGATGTACAAACAACAGGATCACACTCTCCATCCAACCCCACAAACACTGACTTCCAAGGACACAAACACTTCCATTTCCATGATTATCTTCCCATGTCATACAAGTAATACACTTACTTCCAATTTTATGGGCTCCGATCTCACAGCATCAGGCAAAGGAGACACAACTACAGTAAGATCCACCTGTATCAGTCCTTCCTCATTCAGATGACCATGGTTCAGATTAGAGACACACAGAGGCCTGCTTCCCACCTGGATCAAATGGAGACTGTTCTTACACCTTCTTACCTGTGTCCACTGTGGAGCCACCAGCTTCATCCATTGTTATCAAAGCCTTGGCATAATGTGTTAATGTTTGGGAGACAGAGATTTCTATTTGGAATTAGAAATATTATTATTTAAGTACATAGGTAGTATAGGGTAGCTTCAAAACTTTTTTTTGCACCAAATAATTTTTATAAGATTTTACATTTTCTGAATACGTAAGGGCAACAGATTCTGAAGTAAATTACCAAATACAATGGCAGACTCCTTAAAGCTTTGTTGTTAATTTTCATAGCGAATAGCAATACTCTCTGAAATTCAAAAATATTAAAGAATATTTTGTAAAAATAACATATTCTTGAATTGCCTTGCAAAAGAAAGCACGAAAGATTTTTTATCATTTGTCATTTTCTCTCAATTCAAGCATCCATATTAGATGGTAGATAGAACTGATCCTTCATTTAACATACTTTCAGAGTAATCCTTTAAAACCAGACATAATGCATTCAATAGTGTTCTTTTTTGTTAGTATGTTAAGTTTAGTTTGCATTTATTATTTTTTCTTTCCACCTACCAATATTTCTGAATCCTTTCACTAGCATGATTAATTAAGAGTCTGAAATTTTCAAGACTAAGAACCTGCATTGAATTGGTCAACATCATGGGATAAAAAAGTTAAATACACAAAACTTACAAAATTAAATAAAAGAAAATAATAAATATTTTAAAGACTGGAATATAAGACTTTTATTGTACTCCTACCTCCTCATGATAATTTGTGGTCATCAACTCAGAATATTAACATGGAGTTCGACATTTAAGATCATTTTTACTCAATTACTTTTTCCAATCTTGTTAAAAAGTCTTATTTTGGTAGATTTCCCAAAAGATATGCAGACCAAGCTTTCTTGTGGGATCATACTTAGAACTGCATTTGTTTGTGTTTTTTACCAAGTAAGCATGACTTTGGGTTAAATTACCCGAGATTACATAGTACTGCAATCTATTACGTTGGCTCTCCCCAGATGTTTTCTCTCCAGGACAGTGCGTGTCCTTGTGAAGGGATCTGATGTAGGCACAATCTTTCAAGAGCTGTTCAACTCAATCTTGAGCATATCATTGACAAACAAATAGTTGGATTGTTTCCCTGTTTTCATGATCAGCTGTGTGGTAGATTGACATCTCTGAGCTGTGATCGTCTTTACATGAAAGCTCAGGAAAATGCCAGTCATGGGTAATGGTGACCATGAGACAGTAAAGCTGTGGATCCAGTTCGTGCTCTTCTTACATAGAGAATTTCCACTCGAATTGTGAACTCATGGCTGTGGCTGCACCACTTACAGGCCCAGGGGACACTCAGATCTCACTTGGTAGTTGACGAAAAACTGGAAGTCCTGATAGGACCTCATTCCACATGATGAGGAAGACTGTGGGAAGAGCTTTTGTTAACACCATTCAGAAAAACATAGTGCAAAGTTAGTTTTTGTTCTTTCTATATAATTATCCTAGAAAAGTCTTCCCTTAATAAATCCTTCTGGTTAATCTGGCATATGTGAGATGATTATGATGGGATATATACCAGATTGAACAATTGGTCACCAGGAATTTTATATTCACTGCCTGAGGAATAAATTGTTTCCCACTTTCCTCTTACCTGCACTGGGCTCTTGAATCTAAATATAGAGACCCACATTATTTTCCCTATGAGGCCCTTGGACAGAGCGCTCTTATGGGGCTCACTCACCAGGTGCCAGGGGAGGGTAGATTCCAACACTTGCTATGAACATTCTTGAACAGTTATCCTGGAAACCGCAGATACCAGACCACTCTTGAACTGGCTCAAGACTATGTTTTATTTGTAGGCTGTCTGCTCATCAGTGCTTGTAGGAAAGGGTAACGTTTCCTTTTTTAGATTAGCTGGGAGGGAGCCAAGAAGAATGGCATTCATCCATATTCATTCTAGACATATCTCTACATTGTTAGGGTTGTTATGCTTTCCTAGAGTTGCATATCCTATACAATGGGACCTACCCAAGATCCAAACTGTCACAGTCAGATCCTTCCTCCCATTTTATATCACATTGCTCACAGGAGAGACATATCCCCTGCCCGCCTGCCCCATTGACTCTTTCCACACCACTGCATGCACCAGGGGATTTGCATATTGTCCCACAGGGAGGACCTTCCCTTGTGAGTCTGAGATAAAAGCTCAGCTGTAACTGTGCCTTGACTGATCAGGACTCCTCAGTTCACCTTCTCACAATGAGGCTCCCTGCTCAGCTCCTGGGGCTGCTAATGCTCTGGGTCTCTGGTAAGAAAAGAAGGAGATGAGGAAGGAGAATAGGGTGGGAGGGTGAGCTCTAGGGCTCCACAGCATCCCATGATCCCATGTTTAGTCTTACCCTGTGTTAGAGGAGTATAATCTGTGCTGTAGAAAAGGGAACTTGATATTTTGCTCTGTGAATAATTAGAAGCCTCATAAGAAATATGACGTCTGGTGCTCTGATTAAGATCTTCAAAATATAAAGGTCTCTTATACTTTACAAAAATTGAATTCATTTTAGAATGTGTATTTTTATGGCATAAATCACTATTTTTTAAAATTAAGTTTAAATAAATGACATAAGATAAATTATGAAAATTGCTCATTAGGTTTGTACATAACTTTGCAATTCATTATTTCAGGATCCAGTGGGGATATTGTGATGACTCAGTCTCCACTCTCCCTGCCCGTCACCCCTGGAGAGCCGGCCTCCATCTCCTGCAGGTCTAGTCAGAGCCTCCTGCATAGTAATGGATACAACTATTTGGATTGGTACCTGCAGAAGCCAGGGCAGTCTCCACAGCTCCTGATCTATTTGGGTTCTAATCGGGCCTCCGGGGTCCCTGACAGGTTCAGTGGCAGTGGATCAGGCACAGATTTTACACTGAAAATCAGCAGAGTGGAGGCTGAGGATGTTGGGGTTTATTACTGCATGCAAGCTCTACAAACTCCTCCCACAGTGGTACAACCCCTAACAGAAACCTCCTCCTGGGGTTGCCTAGTTGCTCACATGTGCTGCTTGTCTGGAGAGCAGCTCAGCAGGGTCTCTGAGTCTGCAGAAGAGGAGGCTGTTGGAGACCTCAGGGCAGAGGTTGCTGCTGAGGACTCTGGCTCATGATAGCCTCAGCTGTACTTCAGTCCCACATGTTAAGGCCCCATTAGGTGAAAAATAAATGATTCCAAAAACTGAGATGAAATACCAAGGAGAATCAGAGTACAATTAAGGCTGTTACAAAGAAGCCTCAAAATATGGTGGACTAAATGTGACATGGTTTCTGTGTCTGTTGCCTGACAGTGCAGAGGCAGGTGGGTGGCTTTGGTGGTGTCGGTGGCTCTTCTCCAAGAGGTCGCTCAGATGGGCAGGAGACACGACCACCCTCAGACACAGCCTTCCTCCTTCCTCAGAGTCACTTGCCCCCATGCCCATCCTCGACAGCATGAAGTGGAACGACTAGAGAGAAAGCTGTTTTCTTCTAAAGACCAAAGAAATCTAGAGTTTCCCATCAGGGATAAATGTTCTTTTACTTTAAGCACGCATTGGAGAAATTTTCCATTCAGTGGATCTGCTGATAAACCCACTTTGTTTTGTTTGTTTGTTTTGTTGTGTTTTCAGATGGAGTCTCTCTCTGTCACCCAGGCTAGAGCGCAGTGACATGATCTCGGCTCACTGCAAACTGCCTCCTGGGTTCAAGAGATTCTCATGCCTCAGCCTCCGGAGCAGCTGGGATTACAGGCACCCACCACCATTCCAGGCTAATTTTTGTATTTTTAGTAGAGACAGGGTTTCACCATGTTGGCCAGGGTGGTGTCGAACTCCTGATCTGAAGCGATCCACCTGCCTTAGCCTCCCAAAGTGCTGGGATTATAGGCGTGAGCCACTGCACCTGGCAGTTATTTGCTCTTATATGATAATGTAAAATTATTTTAGAAAATAATTTTTTGAGTATATAGTTATGTTTGTGGCAGCCTATTTGAATTTATCATTTGATAATTTCTACTAAAATGTCTTTGTTATAAAAGTCATATGACTTTAATTGTCCTCTTCTGAAAAGAATATGGTTTTTTATCCTCTCAGGCTCCTTTTAGGACATTCAGTTAATCTCATTTTCATACAATATATTAATTTTAGTTTATTATTTCTGATAAATTTATTAAGTAATTTTCACTATAACAAAATTAAAAATCCCATAAATTGCTATGTCAATAACCTGTCTCTGGGTGTAAACACACTCCACAATAAACAATAAAGAACACCAAGGTCTTAGAAACACTGGGAAAATAAGACTGATAGTGTCCCATTATCAATGGGAAGTCCCTAAATCTAGAACGGTGTCTCATGTGTGACCTGGGACATCTGGGATGAGCTGCCAGTGTGCTGAGTTGTGGGGAACCTGCTCTGTGCTTGGAGGCTGAAAGCATATCCTTTCCCTCCCTACTGCCTTACCTGTGTCCACCTGCTGTGGTCTAAATTGTGTTCCCACATTCATGTTGAAGGTCTAATCTCCAACGTGGCTGTAGGAGATAGGACCTATAAGAATATAATGGAAGTTATAAGGGTGGGGCCCTGATCCAATAGGATTAGTGGTTCTCATAAGATCCAGAGATCTCTCTTTTTCCTCTCTCTCTAACTCCCACACTCTTATGGAAAGACCATATGAAAGCATGGTGAGAAGGTAGCATCTACAAACCAGGAAGAAGGTCTTTACCAGAAAGTGAACCCTGCTGGACCTTGATGTTGGACTTCCCAGCCATCAGAAATGTGAAAATAAATGTCTATGGTTCAAGCCACCCACCCAGAGTATTTTGGTGTTGCAGTGAAAGAAGACTCATTCACTATCCCCACCCTCTCTGAGCAGGATCAGCATCAAGAAATATCTCATGGATGTGGGGACCCAGCTTTGCTCCTATTCCTCCTGCTGTTCTCTCTCTTGAGGAAGAAGGGAGGGTTCAGGCTTCATCTTCAGTTTGTTTGCAATAAACAGGAATGTTTCCTTGACAATCAGTTAATTAGCCTGTTTTATTTTCTGAATAGAATTTAACCAAACTGAACAAACTACATGCTTGGTATTAATATTTGGGGTGTTCATGTTTATTCCACATTTAGATGGACAGTCTCTAGCCCCTCTTCATGTGTACTAGTAGAGAGGGTCACTGTCACCTGCAGGGCCAGCCATAGTCTCAACAATGTTCTAGCCTGGCACCAGCAGAAGCCACAGCTGGCTCTGAGCTTCTGCTGGCTCCTGCTGCCTACTCTACACAATGCCTGTTGGGTCAGGGGTGATGGGCTTGGACAGAGTTCACTCGGGCCATCAGCAGCTGAGCTGCCTTCATGGCGTCTCGTTTTGTGAAGAGGATGTCAGCAGCCACATGAGCCATGATAGCTGGGCAGAGAGATCCCACATCACTCTAGTCAGAGGAGAAGCTGCCAATTGTCAAGTGGAAGGGTTTTGTCCTGTGACCCTGTGACTACACAGCCACTGAGTCACATGTGCTGCTGTGTCTGAGAAGAGCCCCCAGGGGAGGAACTGTCTACTCGGAGATCTGGGAACAAAACTTCTCTCCAATCAGGGCCCAGACCCACTGCCCATCTCCCAGCCACCTGCTGATTGTGTTCCCCACACCCCCCTTGGGTCTTGGGGGCTCTCTGTCCTGCTCAACAGGGACATGGGGAAAGGTCCTGAGCTTCCTGACCTTCAGGAAGTCAGGAAGGATCATGTTTATGGTGTGCTATTGCTGGTTTTAAATGTTCATGCTCAATTTATCAAATTTGAAATCATACCTTATACCAACAGTTATATCTATTTCTATATAAATATACATATTATGTAGATGTATAATATAGATACATATTATATACAGATACATCAATAATTTATATCCATAATATTATATCTATTTAATTTAAAAGTTTACACAGTATGTCCATATATTCATTATTTTTGTAGCATGTGTTCCTTTTATTTCTAAGCAGAACAGAGGCTCGCTGAGTAAAGTCTGTGGACATTTGTTGACTCTCCCTCTTTGGCTCCAACAGGGTCCTGGTGTCTCAGGACCAGTGAGGACAGAGCTGAGGACAGCCAGCCCCAGGAGCCCAGGCCCAGCCCTAAGGCTCTGGTCTCAGAGACTTTCATCCTGACCTCGGGCACTGGGCTTGGTGTGGCACCCGTGGGTGTGTGAGCAGTTTCCTTCTCTGAAGCCCCATTCCATGCAGCCCCGTGGATAGGGCCTGTGGTTCCCCCCAGGTCCTCAGCCCCATGGTTCAGGAGAGAAGCTGCTACTGCCACAGACCAGGGCCAGTGACCGGCAGCTTGGGTAATGCAAACATTAGTCCTGGACTGAGGACCCTATGCCAAATATCTCCCCCATTTATTCCAGTACCTGAAAGTCTGTCCTGGTCTTAATTGCACAGGCCACATTTCCTTAACTAGTGAAGCCAGCATTGGCAACTGAAAAACTAGAAATTTGACTTCATTGTCATCCTCAGGGTCTGGCCCACTCCAATCCCACCACATAAAGAGGCCCTTGAACTTTCTCTTTCCCATGCAACTTAACTTAGACACATAGTGAAATATAAACATCGCAAAACTCTTGGCACCTACACAGCAGCCATCCCCTCTCCTTGGGCGTATAAGGGACCAGCTTCGTCCTGCTGCACATGGCAAGGACAATGAAGAGGAGCAGGGAGTGGGGCACATGAGCTCCACAATGAGATGTCAGAGGTGAGCAGCACTTCAGGGAAGGACTTTGATCCCTCATAAAGGCATAGAAGGTGAAGAGCTTTGTCCTGCATTTTTTTCCTGAAACAGGTATGCGTGCACATTGATACTTGGAGGCACTGCAGCCCTCCTAAGATCATGAGGCTTTGAACCCAAGACTGAAAAACTGAAGTGCAAAGAAGAAATGTAGCAAAAACCTGGGTCCTTTTGCTGTCACCAAGTTGCTGCACCAACCTCAAATGTTCCAAACTTCAGAATTCTTATCTCTGCTTCAGCTATTGCTATCATTTCTTGCAATTGCTTCTAAAATTATTTTAACTTATCCAGAAAAAATATTCAAGGGAAAGAGACTGACTGGGTTCTTATTTGTGTTTATGGGAGTCTAAGACACAAAAAAAACAGGAAATCAGAAAAAGTGATGTCTTCTCCTAACATCTTTGTCATTCTATGCCCATGGTTAGAGAAATCCAAACCACTTTGAAGAATGTATAAATTCTGCTCTCTTCCTGTCTCCATTTCTCTTTTTATATCTTAAGCATAAAACAGCTCCTTGTTCTTCTTAATGTCTCCATCCTTCAAGATCATAGAAACAGAATCATGGTTAAGAAACTGGAAAAAACAGTTGGAGAAAACATGAAATCTAGGGTTTGTATGCATTTCCTCTACACTAATGTGGTGTTTGCAGGGTTCCTCTCCTTCTCAGTTGTTTTTGCTGAAGATGCCGACTGTTCCAGCCAGATTCCTGTCAGAGGTTGTGTTTGGAGGGTTTAAAAGAAAAGCTTCCAGGGGCTTAGGGCTGAATTCCAAAAAGGATAGCCGGAGAGTGGCTCTGGATTCCCAGCAAGGAGAATGCCAGATTGAGTCTTGGGAAAGGCTATGGACATACTGGATCCCAGGCAGAGACTTGTAGCAGGGAGAAAGCCTCCACAGAAAATCCCTGCTAGGGCAATATCTAGTAGAGCCATGAAAGTGAGGCAGCCTGGGAGACCACAGAATTGTAGGGCCAGCAGCATGCAACTCCAGCCTGGGAAAGATGCAGGCACAAGACTCCAACCCATGAAGGCTTCTGGGTGAAGTGAGCCCAGTAAAACCATAGAGGTGGGGCTGCCTGAGGCATTGGTAAACCAACTCCCACCCCAGATTGCCCCAGATATGAGATTTGAAGTCAAAGATTATTCTCCACCTTTAAGACTTAATGTTTTTCCTGTTGGGTTTTGGGCTTACTTGGGACCAGTTAACCCTTTCTTTTTACCTATCTCTCTTTTTTGGAATGAGAATGTTTATCTTATGCCTGCCCCACCATTGTACAGTTGTCCCTCAGTTTCCATGGAGAATTGGTTCCAGGGTCCTCCACAAATACCATAATTTGTGGACATTCAAGTCCTGCAGTCAGCTCTGAAGAACCTGCAAATATGAAAAGTATACCCTCTGCATCTGTGGATTCTGCATCTGCTGAATACTCTATTTTCAATCCATGGTTGTTGAATCTGTGGATGTAAAACCCATGGGTAGGGAGGGCTAATTGTATTTTGGAAGCATGTAACTTGATAATTCACAGGCTTATAGCTGGAATTAATTTGCCTGGGATAAATAGTGCCTCGAATCTCACCCATATGTGATTCAGATGAGGCTCTGGACTTTGGACTTTTGAGTTGATGCTGGACCAAATTGAGACTTTAGGTGCTATTGGGATAAAATGAATGTGTTTTTCATGTGAAAAGGACATGAACTGGAGAGAGTAGGGTGGAATGCTGTGATTTGAATGTATCCTCCTCAGTTCATTTGTTAGAAATTTACTCCCCAGTGCAGCCATGTTGAGAAGTGGAAACTTTAAGAGGTAATTAGGTCACTAGAGCTTTGCCCTCATGAATGGTTAATGTCATCATGATGGGGGTGAGTTTGTTATAGTGAGAGTGGGTTACTTATAAAAACAAGTTTGACCCCTTCTTGCTCTTACTCACTCTGTCTTGCCTTTCCACCATGGAGATGCAGCCAGAAGGACCTTACCAGATAACTGCACCTTGGTATTGGACTTTCCCACCTCCAGAACTGTGAGAAATAGATTTCTAACTGAAAAGATAAATCACCCAGTTTCAAATATTCTGTTATAACAGCACAGACTGAAACAAATATGTTACTGTCATTATTTATTTTCAGAGTCAACATTCCCCTATTTTGTCCAAGGGGAGCCCCATTCAAGCTAGTTCCTAATACCTTTTTCTCTTACCCCATCATTTTCTGAGCACTTCCTTAGTTTCTGACACAAGAAGTGCAGGCTTATCTTATATTTTTTCTGCTCTAAACCTGATATCAGATATTTTTCCAGTAATTATTCTTTTTAATAGAGATTGATATTCAATAAAACAAGATTTGAGCACTCAAGGTGTTTATTGAGACTTGTGTGTTACTGCTTCTAGGAAAAATTACCTGTCTATCTGCATATGTTTTAATCTATATCCGTATAAAACTATCCAAAAAATTAATGAATCTACATTAATGTCTCTAATTACAATCCAAATCTACAGTTTCTCCTTTTTTATATTTGTAGCTTTTTTCCAAACTGAGAATCTTGGCTGTAATTATTCATACCATATTTACTTAAATGATCAAACATTTTGTGTGACACCAATCTCCCACTGTCCCTGTCACCTAAACTTTCCTTGTGGACAACTTCCCTCTTATGCCTCACACACCTTCATTAGTCTTGATACTCCGTGCCAGTCCACCATGAACTTTGCATCTCTGCATAGCTGCCCTTTCCCCCCCGGGCTCTGACATTAGCAACAGTGTCCTCCACCCTTGTGACTGTCCTGCTCATCCTCATCCAGCTGTGATGTCCTGCATAAGTGGGAGGAGGGGTCTTGCATCCTGCACACCCAGGTAGGGATACTTGTCTCTGCTAACTATAGCTTCAACGCCCAGGTGGGCTTTCCTCTACACCCCACAACACGGGTGCACTTTCTATACTGTGTAGGCTCAGTATCTCATACAATTCCCTGGCTTTTTGTTGCATAGTTTTCTTTCTGAACCTGCTCGGATCAAGTGCCCTAAACCCAGTCACTAAGAACTGTTTTCTCTTAGGAGCTGGAAGAGATTGGTGATTTGGAAATATGCAGGTATAAGAAACAGAGTAGTCACAGGGATAGAGGGTGACAACTTGGTTTAGAGGACACCTCAGCTTCTGAAGGGGAATGGCTTGGATAAGAGAAATAAAAGGCATAAATAAAATTCAGGGAGCACAGGGAAATATCTAGCATGAGACTGTAGGATGGCATACAGAGCTAGAATATAGCTGAGAACTTTCAGAAGTAAAGGGAGAAAATTTATCATGTTGGCTGGCCCAGCTGAAAGAGGTAGGAAAGAACATTCAGATATGGAGGATAACAATTATGTGTCTGGAGATGGGAGATTAGCTATGCCAGATAGCCAGTGGCAGGACCCTTCCTTGCTGTGGCACTATTTTCAAGTATTAGGTTTTTTTTAAGTTTTTTATTTCTTTTTTAATGAGCAAATCTATCTATCTATCTATCTATCTATCTATCTATCTATCTATCTATCTATCATTCATGATTATACCTTAATGCATCCATTGTTGGTAGCACTGACAATTTACAGCACTGGTGGTTCCAGGGAATTGGACCAAAAAGGAAGTCTCTCTGACCTTAATAGTACTCATCTGTATCAAATGCAGGAAACTTCTAAAATGTCTTGAGTTTCTAGAGATGTTTTTCCCTAGCAGACCTTGTCATAAATAGAAAGCTAGCAAGAGAAGCATGTCATGAAACATGAAGAGAGCAAAAGAACACTCCACATATAGGACAGTAGGCTGATTCTGTCCTGTAGCCTGCAGGGAGAAACACATGCTCTGCAGACTTTGGACACCTGGGAGGCACTGGGCCTGTGCAGTGTTATTGAGATAAGACATCTTTGCAGCTGTGCAGATTTGCATGTCCCACAGAGCAACGCCTACTGCCCTGAACATTTATCAATAGGCTGGTGACATCCTGTGCAGAAGTCTCTCTCAGTCAGGACACAGCATGGACATGAGGGTCCCTGCTCAGCTCCTGGGACTCCTGCTGCTCTGGCTCCCAGGTAAGGAGGGAAACAACAAAAATTTTATTCAGCCAGTGTAGCCACTAATGCCTGGCACTTCAGGAAATTCTTCTTAGAACATTACTAATCATGTGGATATGTGTTTTTATGTTCCTAATATCAGATACCAGATGTGACATCCAGATGACCCAGTCTCCATCCTCCCTGTCTGCATCTGTAGGAGACAGAGTCACCATCACTTGCCGGGCGAGTCAGGGCATTAGCAATTATTTAGCCTGGTATCAGCAGAAACCAGGGAAAGTTCCTAAGCTCCTGATCTATGCTGCATCCACTTTGCAATCAGGGGTCCCATCTCGGTTCAGTGGCAGTGGATCTGGGACAGATTTCACTCTCACCATCAGCAGCCTGCAGCCTGAAGATGTTGCAACTTATTACTGTCAAAAGTATAACAGTGCCCCTCCCACTGTGATACAAGCCCGAACATAAACCATGGAGGGAAGTAGATGTGTGAGTCTGGGCTGCCCCAGCTGCTCCTCCTGGTGCCGCCCTCTGCTGACAGCAGTTCTCAGATGCAGCCAAGGTTTGAAGCTCACTGGGAAGTTTTGGTAGAAGGGGTCAGGGAGGCACATTTACATTCTATCTCTCTTTATCCTCAGCTCCATCAGCTGATATGCAAGTATCTCTCCTGATTATTATTAATAAAGGACAAAGAAAATTAAACCTAGGAGGTCTAGATTGCAGCAAAAGTCAGACTTATACAGAAAAGGAGAAGGTACTCTACATATTTTTAAAGAATTTTTTTTGATACAGGGGATTAGAGTCTAAATTATGACCTTTCAAAGATCAGACATAAGTACATACACATATAAGTATGTTCAGCCAACAACATATCAGATAAACATATTGCACCTATATGTATACTGTAAACATTTATGCTCCGATCCCACCTTCTTCCAACACTACCCAGATCAAGATCCACACTCTTCCCAGCATCTCAAATATCTCCCCAGTTTACTTCCCTGTCAATTCCGTGTTCCATCTATCATCATCCTAGGCTTCCACTGTATTTTATATCAATATTTATTAATTTTTCCTATACTTAAGCTTTATATAATTTCAATCATACAGTATTTACTCTTTGACGTCTTGCTTATTTTGGTCAAAATATTTTTGAGCTTCATCTGCGTTGTTTCTCTGGCAGTAATTTGTGCCTTTTTATTGAGGAACAATTTTCCATGAATATGCCAAAATATATTCATTTTTCAACTAATTATTTGTTTTTGGTTTAAGAATATTACTGGTAAAAACCTTAAGAACATTCTTGTGCTTGTCTTTTGTGAACTTATGCACTCATTTCTCTTGGGAATATTCCTAAGAATGGAAGTGTTGAGTTATAAAGTTAGCATAGAATTTGTCTTAGTAAACATTGACAATAGTTTACTGAAATGCTGAACATGTTTACATGAAACCAACCACGTCCTAAAAGTCTCAATTGCTGTCAATCTTTTTCAGTACTCAGTACTGTCAAACTTTTATTATATCTAGGGTGGAGGCCAAAGCAACCCCATCTTGGATGCTAATTTTCCATGTCTGACTTCTGATTAACCTGAGTTCTGGGACGGTCTCTAAGATTTTCAGTTTATCTATTTTATCTTATTTAAGAGCAAGTACTTAGCATAAATCCTGCCCTTAAACAACCTTGATGTAATCATTCTTTGATTGTCGTACACATCCTTTCTGAATCACTGGTCTCCTATGGTATACAAGCCCTATTTGAGAGGGGTCATGGCAAGTGATTGACCATCTTATCTGCCTACTGTCAGAGACACAGACACGGCTTCTGTTTTTAAGTCTCTATTAAATGTTTCTTTCTGAGA